>NC_000006.12:97192002-97343517 GCF_000001405.40 Homo sapiens
AGTTTCAATCCTGAGTCCCAATCCTGTGCATGCCCAAATTGTCAGGGAGAAACCAGGCTGGCAAGTAGCATTCAAGCACACTTTGCAATGCCTCCATGTAACAGACACCCCAGTACATCTGTGTGTCTGTGCATATGTGGAGGAGGGGGTAAGTAGGTGGTAGACGGATGGATGGATGGATGGATGGATGGATGGATGGATGGATGGATGAATGAATGAATGAATATGTGAAATCAAAGCAAGAGTTTATTGACTGTTTTGATGATAAAGCACAGCAGTGGCAATGATGCTTACCGTCACATATAATTACAGAGAAAAATAAGGGCTCCTTGAGATGCAAGGAGAATTCTTCAAATGAGCTCTTGTCTAAGACAGAAAAGATCAGCTTGTGACTCTGGAAAACTACTAAGCCTCAGTTTTTCATCTGTTAAATGGAAATAAGGCCCTACTGTCCTCTATGGAGCTGCTAAAGCATTAAAGTCACAGCATTTAGGTAAAAATACTTTGTAGACAAGGCAAAATAATATGCACTTTCATAGACTGTAAGGCAAGACAATATGCACTACTGCTTCTAAATCCTAATAAACATGTTCTTAGAGGCATTCGAACATCACTAGAAAGATACAAGCTTTGGAGACAGACATACTAAAGTATACATCCTATTTTGCCAATTAGCAGTTGGATGGTCATTTCCTCATCTGCTGCAAGAATTAAATAAGACATATTCAATAAAGAGTAACTATTAGGGTTGGCCAGAGAATTAAAAACTGTTTAATGATAATATATGTACTAGCCCTATTCTAAGTGTTTGACCTTTTATAACTAATTTAATCTGTAGGTACTTTATTGTCCTCATTTTATAGACAAGGAATCTCAGTACAGAAAGGATAAGTAATTTGCTTGGGTCATGCTCTTAGTAAGCAGCAGAGCCAGGATTTGAACCCAAACAGTCTAGCTTCAATACCCCAATTCATAATCACTATGCTACAGCTGCCTCAAATACCATTTTACTACACAAATAAATAATACATGCTCCAAATGTCGCATTGCTGTATTCACTCATTCATATGTAAGTTCTTAATAAAGGTAGTTATAAAGTAGTATAACAGCTAATCCCAGGTGATATACCAGATGCATACATGTTAAAAGTTTAATACTTCTGGGGAGTGCCAGGCTCTATAGGGATTCCAAAGGTCAACGATGTGTGATAATTTACAATTTTCCTATGCTCCAAAATTGACTTAGTTTGCAAGACTGGGAAAGAACAACAAATCAGGAATCCAGTGATGAACCTAGCAAACCAAGCATGCCTATAATAATGCTGTCTTACATACAATAAAAGGGGTGAAGTGCCTAAAATGAAGTTGCTTGCCTGTGTCCCAAAAACAGTAACTAGCACTGGTATGAAAACATACCAGTAAGAAGTCATCATTTTTAGAATTTACCCTCATATTTTCATTAGTCTTGACTTTGTAGATGATTATGAGTATAAAATTACTTAAGTTTTTCAGTTACGTTTCACTGTATTTTATAACACAGTAGTAACAAGGATCCACTTCCTTGTTATTATTGTAAGTAGTTCCCAATGTTGACTACCACCAAAATTATCTGTATATCTTTCTACAAATTTACTAATGTCTTGGCCTCACTAAAGATCTTTCTGCAACTTCAGCATTGGGCCCAATCATAATATTTACTATTTGTTTTTAATTCCTGACGCAGTTGGTCTGACAGTCTACATTTCATTTGTTTATTTTATTTATTTATTTATTTTTTGAGACGGAGTCTCGCTCTGTCACCCAGGCTGGAGTGCAGTGGCAAGATCTCGGCTCACTGCAAGCTCCGCCTCCTGGGTTCACACCATTCTCCTGCCTCAGCTTCTCGAGTAGCTGGGACTACAGGCGCCCGCCACCACGCCCAGCTAATGTTTTTGTATTTTTAGTAGAGACGGGGTTTCACCGTGTTAGCCAGGATGGTCTCGATCTCCTGACCTCGTGATCTGCCCACCTTGGCCTCCCAAAGTGCTGGGATTACAGGCGTGAGCCACCGTGCCTGGCCTCATTTGTTTATTTTTGAGACAGAGTCTCGCTCTGGTGCCAGGCTGGAGCGCAGTGGCGCCATCTCAGCTCACTGCAACCTCCACCTCCTGGGTTCAAGCAATTCTCCTGCCTCAGCCTCCCGAGTAGCTGGAACTACAGGTGCGTGCCACCATGCTCCGCTAATTTTTGCATATTTAGTAAAGACGGGGTTTCATCATGTTGGCCACGATGGTCTTGATATCTTGACCTTGAGATCCGCTCACCTTGGCCTCCCAAAGTGCTGGGATTCTAGGCGTTAGCCACCATGCCCGGCCGAGGGTCTACATTTCTACCAGGCAGATGCTGCTATCCTATGGTGCACCATGCTGTGGGCAGTCACCTTCTTGGCTTTCCTCATCTAAAAAAAAAGGGATAATAATAGTACCTACAGAATTACATTAATAAAGGCCAAACACTTAGAATAGATCTGGCATATATATTTTCAATAAACAATCTTTGATTTTCTGATCAATAATTATTTCATTTATTGAATAGGCCTTATTTAATTCCTGCAACAGATAAGGCAATGACCATGCAACTAGCAGTTCATAGACTAAGTAACAAGATCATACATAATCCTGTCATGGAGGAGGATTGAAAATACTCCTTTACTCTATAGGTATAAGTGCAAAACAAAGTATAAGATTGTTTTACCAACTCAGAGGAGAAAAACCTTTGGGGGGAAGCACAAGAAAATGGGCGTGGAAGAGATTCTCAAAGGATAGGTAAGGAGTGTTTAGGTGAAAAGGAGGAAAGTAAAAACACAAAGGTATATAAAATCAAATCACTTACTCTCTAATTCAACATATACAGCATACGTTCTAAGCAGTAGGGTACAAAACTAGCAAACAGACAAAGTCTCTGCCCTCTGGAACTTATATTCTAATGAGAGACAGATAATTAAACATACAACCATGTAATACCTGAACTTGTGGTGAGCTTTATGTATAAAAAAGAAATCACAGTATGGGGATGATGATTGATAGAACTTTGTACAATAACATTGTACTTGTACAATGATCAGGAAACATCTTTTAAGAAGGTGACATTTGAGCAAAGAACTAAATAAGTAAGGGAGGGAAACACACAGGTATATGGGGAAGAATATTCCAGTGAGAAGAAAAAGTGCAAAGGTGCTGGGCCTGGCACAGTTTCACAGACTCAAGGAACAACAACCAGGAGTCCAAAGTGGCTGAAGCACAATGGGTGACAGATGAACAGCAGATGAACTGGAGAGGTGGCAGGGTTCCAGACCATGTAAGATCTTGTGAGCCATGTAAGGACTTTGGATAAAATCCAAGTGGATAACAAGCCAGAAAAGCAGAAGTGTAATATAATTTACATCTTAAAAGGAATATATAAAAGAACAAGGTGTTTGAAGAATGAAAAAAACGTAACCACTTTGATTATAATAGAGAATTTTTATAGTAGCATTGGAAGGCAATAAATTTAAGAATACAAATGGTGTTCCATTTGTTCAGTCATATGTTTTCTTCATTCACTTCAGAAGAAGTTACTCAGTGCTAGTCACTATGTCTGATGCTAGAGATACAAAAATGGTTAATCCTGCTGTTAAAAGAAAAATCAAGACTTCATTCTTAAAGTGGTAAGAAGACACTGAAGGATTCTGAACTGGAGGGTGATATAATGAAAAAAGTGCTTTGGGAAAGATTAATCAGGTAATGGCAAACAGAATGGGTCAGAACAAGAACTGACTAAAGATAAAAGAAACTAATTAAGAAGCTTCTGTAAACATCCAGGTAAGAGCTAATGTGCATTTTCAGTTACTTTATGAAGGAAAAAGCCAACACTAATTATTTCGCATTTTGTGAGGGAAAGGAAGGAGCAGCCTGTCATTGCCAAATTTTGGGGGAGAAAAACTGAAAGTTACGAGGGACAGTTAATTATAACAGGAGGATATAATTTGATATGAAAAGAGAAAATTGAAGTAACACTATCGAAAATATTTTTGGAAATCTGGACCTAGAGTCGAAGAGTACAATCAGACTCAGGAATCATTCTACCTAATAGTTCAGATCATCTTAATGAACACGTCAATGTCTGTTAATTACATGAGCCATTGTACTAGATGTTATCAAATATAGTCCTTCCTTTCAAAGAATGTACAGTTAAGTGCCGAGACAGAGGTATGTAAAGAGTAAAAAACAGGATTCAAAGAAGACTTCCTGGAGAAGACATGCCATTACCTGTTACAGAAGTCATATTAGTTAATTAAAAAAATAATAGAGTTGCAGAAAGTTAAAATAACATGAGTAAAGCATAGTGACATGAAATTGCATGGTACATGAAGGGATTCACAAACAGTGTGGTATTACTAGTAGACGGTATTACCTTTAGTCAAGTGCCAGTAACTATAGTATTGATAAGGAACTGTAGTACTGATAAGAACAATGTAACTATACATTTGTATAATGTAACTATAGTATTGATAAGGAACAGGTCATAGAGGATCATGTCATCTCAAAAAGTTAGAGCCAAAAGTAAAGTCTTTAAGGTAGCTGGAAATGAGAGAAAACCAACTTATATACCCAACATATATATTCCTCATGGTTTGTTCCCAGATAATCTAATGCTTATTAAGGATTGCCTAATATATTTATACATTTAAACATCCTCTTTAACTGCACTGTGCTAATGTTACAATGCTAGTTGTCTCTGAAATATTTTCATTAAAAAAACCCAACCTGATGAGTATGTGCAGTGTGACTTTGCACATATACGAATCTATATTACTCATTACAACATACTACACATATATAGATACATAATTATATCTATACATTTGTATATCTATATCTATACATTTTGCCAATGCTTAAGCGTTATCTTATGCTCTCATCTAATAAAAGTGAGCATGGGCAGAGCTACCCATAAGCTTCGGTGCTGACCCATAAGCATCAGCTTCACCTATAAGCATCATTATGACCAACAAGTTATAGTCCTGAAGTTAACACACACAAAAAAAATAAAAATTTTCACGCTGGATGTTAAAATTTAAGTTTTACAGCATCACAAGATGCCTTCAAGGAAATGGTTGAGGGTAAAGGCCACAATTAAGGCTTGGGTACATCCTTTGGCATTATAACTATAAGGAACTACAGACGTCATCGTAGGTTAGTAATTTCTAAAAGAAGAGCAGAATGATCATCATCTGATTGTGACAACTTGCACTGCTTGTATTCAGTTAGGGCTCCCATTTCCAGGAACTCATCCTCCAAATTTAATAGCAAGTGTGTGGGTACAACGTAATGAACGAAAGTAAAAGAGGGGGAGATTATGGCTGAATATGAAGCTAGTCAGTCTCCAAGTTTTCTACTACCAGAGTATCACGTGGGTAGGACCACTAGTTAAGGTCCAGGATCTTTGTCCTTGGGGTTAAAGGCACTCAGAGGTGAGATCATCTCTGAAAATAATCTCACAACAAAATGTACATGCCTTATAAAATATGTGAAGTTGTTATACTGGTTTTTGGGATTTCAAATACAATTATCTTCCTCTTCAAATGTAAATGGATAGGGTATAACTGTGCAAGCACACATGCACTAGATCTTATCCAAAATGTTATGTATTGAATTCTCATAGAAGAAAAAAGAATGAGCTCAGGCCGGGGGGCAGTTAGGAATTGGTGACTAAAAAAGAAAGTTAGAATACAAGCAACAGTGTGAACAAAATATTTATGGAATATGCCCTCATTTTCATTTTGGAAGAGACCACCAATCTATCTAACTTAGCAGCACTGGAGCCAATAATTACTATGATATTAAGAACACCTCACAATCTTTAATTTTCTTCCTCCTCCCAATCCTCCCCCACCCTGCATCTCTATCTCTGTCTTGCTTTGGCTATTCCACTGTTTGCTGAAAAACGTGTAATTTTTAAAATATGGCCACAATTCTTTGACACTTCTTGATTCTGAGAGATCCTGTGACTGATTTGACCAAAGAGCACAGCAGACATGACATTATGTGGCTATAAGGTTTGGTAATAAAAGGCCATAAAGCTTCTGCCTTGTTTGCTGGGAATACTCACTTTTAGAGCCCTGAAATGCAATGTAGGAAGTCCAATGACCCTGAGAATACCCTGTTCGAGAGGCCACAGACAGCACTCAGGTCAACAGTTCCAGCTAAGCTTGTCCACCAGCCATTCTAGCTTAGAAACTAGATGTATTACTGAAGAAGAAGCCATCTAGGAACTGGATCCTCCAGCTTCAGCTGTTCTAGTCTCGGCCTTTAGTTACTCACAGACATTGAATTAGAGTTACTTCCAGACATTGAATCATCCTAGCTGAGGCTCCAGACGTGGTAGAGCAGATAAGAGCTGCCCTTGGCTTTTCAAAGTCCTGACCTACAGAATCTGTAAGCATAATAAAAGGATTGCTGTTGTGGTGTTTTACCCACTATGTTATTACATAGTATATTATGCTCTAAAGGGCATATAAGAAGCACTATGTAGGAATTAGAGATTCAAAGATGAAAAAGATGCAGACCTGACCTAAAGGAATTCACACTTGGGAAGCTTGGGGTGGGAGGTGGGAGGAACAAAGAATTTTATTAGAAATATAACCACAGGGTAGTATCTACAATAGTACAAAGGCAGACTTAGACAAAATAGCTGTTTTAAGTCTCCTAGAAGCCGTTCCCAACAATCTAAGAAATTCTGGACTGGTTTCAGGACAAATGAATTTCAGAGATAAGGGTAATTTTAAGAAAAACTACTTTATTTTTCTACCTATCCAGCACAGAACACCTATATGAAACATATGCTGAGACATTTTATGTATATTATCATATTTCCTCTCAATAAACTTTATTCAGTTCTTGCTGCTTTCAAAAGTTTCATTTTAGTTTTCCCTAGATGTAAGGTATTATGTTTATGAACCTATGGAGACCACCTTTTAAAGCTAATTAATAAAACTATCCTCTAAAAACTAGCTTAGCTCTCACCATCCCAGCAGTCTTTTTCGAAAACAGTAGTACATAGTCACTGCTACCCTCTAATGACAACTGCAATCATTCTACCACATTTTACATGTGGTTAGTGGCTATATGCTATGTGGGGGAGCGTGCATTGCTTCAAAAAAGAAATTTGGAGTCATTTTATTAAAAGTAAAGAGCCAAAGATTTTTGAGGTCAACTATTCCACAGTAAGTAAGCTAGGGCTGAAGTCCATTTGTGAGCATTTTTCCTAATTGTTGGTAATAAATTTTTATAAATAAAGGGTCTAATGGTAATGTTGACTGATTATTAACTACATCAACCCAAATGTTCCCGTCACAGTGAAATTTGCTTTATAATTTACCTTAACGGACTATGTATCAATAAATATTGAAAATGTCCAGTCTCTTCCCCCCACCTCCATTTAAATCAAATCCAATTCTATGTGAACAGATTGTACCAATGTATAATTACAATAGCTAATGCACTGGAAAAGTAGTGTTCTTTGATAAATAATTTTTCTAAAACCTCTTAAGCATTCTGCATCCTCAACACTTCTCTCACACTCAAAAAATGCAGTAAATTATACAACCAGAAACTAGTGACCATTGCCAATTGTGTTAATGGATCTACAAACCTCATCATCAGCTCCAATAGTGACTTGTTTTTTTTTTTCTTTTTGGATTTCAAAACTCAGTCAAGTAAGAGTCAAAAAGTACCTAGGGATATTTTTTAAAGTGTTTATTCATCAAAAGTATAACCAAACCCTAATGGAAATAACAGTCTAGTCACCATTGTAATATAGTGCTAAACCTGCAGTACATATATAATCTTTAGAAATCTGCAAACTCCTTGAAATTATGTGTAAAGTTTTGTGTATACATAAATGTGTATAAGCCCCATCCCCTTTCTTCTGCTTTCTACCACTTTATAAACACTTCTAAGTACAAGCTGAATGCCTCCTCTCAATTTCTCTCCCTGACTCCTCTTCTGCCTTATTTTGATCTCCTCACTCTGTGCCTCTGTTGTAGTCAACAATCCAACTGTAACCTCATGTACAAAATGCACTAACTTAGGAGGAATGTTTAATATGAATTCTATGTAGAAAAAGCAGTGACTAATACATGTTTAAGATCAATTATGAAAATCATCAAAAAGTATAAGCTCGTTTAGAATAATATCATATTTAGCAGTAAATAAATTTCTTAATTTTAAATTATGGTTTTCCAGATATGTAGTTTCATACCACATACATTCCCTATAGAGATGCTATTTACCACTTTTACTGTAGTTCTTTAAAAGGGAGGAAAAGATAGAGGAGGGGAAAAAGTTTCCTAAAAGATTATCCATTGAGTCAATGATCTGTGGGGTTTATTATAAAGCTCCATTATTAGGGCTGAGAGCCTCAAAGGCGTTTATTATAGCACTAATTTCTTTTTGCAAGGCTTCAGCAAATGAACCGATTTATCTGGTATCTGCATGCTTAGGGCTTGATACATGCTATTTGTACATGACAGGTTTCATCTGCGTAGCACCATTGATAACATTTATCTGCACATCAAAAAAGCTCATCTCCTGATGAAAAAAAAATCCATGCATATGCTGGGATAAGAAATGTTAAAGTGGTGAGTAAAAGACCTGTGATATCTCATAAAATGGAACAAAACTACAAAAAGATCACCGATTCAGTATGAATGTGCAACAGTGCTATAGGAGCAGATATAATGTCAAACAAGGAAGAAATGGAAAGATACTTGCTTACACTGATAAAAGAGTAGGGCTTTGTTACCATCCTGTGAATTTTAACTAGAAATTGGAAAAAAAAATTACTTTCAAATAAGACAAAGTTTCATAAAGCTTTAAGAACAATGCAAAAGTAGTTCAAAATAAATCTTAAGACAGTACCCATTGTTTGTAACTGCCAGTAGAAATTAACCCCTGAAAGTTACTCTTATGGGAATAAGATGTTTAGATTGACTGTTGCTGTAGTTCAAAATTAAAAATCTTTGATAAAGCTTAAAGTCCTTATAAGAAAGTAACTTTAAAAAACACACAGAAAAAAATGTAACCAAAATGTAAACCTGCTTTCCTTTCAGAAACAATAATCAGCTTACAACATCTGTGTAAAAGATTGTGAAAGGTGGACACAGCCTACATATTTGAATAATAATGTAATAATAAAGTATTTCCAACAGATAATATATAATATATTCTTTTGAGAAAAATCAGTGTTTTTCTTTATAAAGAAGGTATACACTGAGTTAAAGAGCTTGTTCCTATAATTCATGATCTTTCAGAACATGTGGTTACGTTAGGCTTCAATCACCTCTTACTCTTACTCTTCCCAGCATTTGGTAATATAGACAGTGGAGCTAATTTTCTGTCATTCAGGAAGAACTGCTGGATCACTAAACTTGTATCATCATCATCTCTGAAACACAGTAAAAATCACTGTTAGACCCAATAGTTTATTAGATCGAACCCACCATCAACAATGTCAACTCTGCCTGGTCGTGTTAACAGGAAAATGTTTTACGAGTTCCACCACTGGGCATCAATTTAACTTCCAGCACCAGCTATGCTGTAAAACCGTGAATGTAATTTATATGGTGACCCGCGTGTGTGGGAAGCAATATCTAGGTGAAACTTCTCACAGTCTGACAAAATGCTTTGATTTGCACCATTCAGATGATTGAGCAAAAAGAGTTTAAGCAATCACCACCAATAGCCTTTATCTCCAAATTCACTAAAAATTTATTACTCTATGAGTGCAATCTATTGCTTTAGAGCCTAGATTGACAGAATAGAAATGACTGGATAAATATTACATTTTCAACTGGTACACATCTTGTCCATTAGGTTTAAATATTGGACAAGCTATGTGTTTAAGATAAATATCAGTCTTAGCTTATTCCCTCGAACAATACTTTTAGAAAGCCTACAAATGTTTCCACAGTAACATTTTTGTGCTTACATATAGCAGAGGACACATGTTCACTGCCAATTAGGAGAAAGTAAACCAAGAGACCACTGTATTCTTCTTATAACAACATACCTTTGTCTTTTACTTAGCACTTAACACAGATGACAATATTTACATATATTTTGCTGTGTACTAAACAACTGAGTAATCACTCAAGCTGGAAAGGACATAAATAGAGCTCACCCACCTATCCTAAATAACAGTTTACTATTCAGGCCTTCCTAGGAATTTTAAACTAGCATAGATTTCATACAGATGGCTTTCCAAGTAGCTACTCCTGTGCACTAACAGAAGGGTGTTTACCTGGCAACCTCTCTATCCACTTGCCTGAGATCATATACCTTTAAATATGGCAATGGATGTTTCAGATCTATATATATAGAGCAAAGCTGCGAAGATCGCTGCAACACAACTTTTAAATATCCTTTCTAGCATTATGGGAGGGATCCTATGCATATAATCTTCAATGACTTTGGGTTCCTGAGCTATTACCTTAGCGTTGACTAACCTGATTAACTCAGTACTACTTTCTAGTATTTTCTAATTTGGTTTTTTAGATACTGTAAAGTAAATAATATCATCTACAGTTTGGTGATGAAAAAATGGACTCAGAGGTTAAATAACTTGACCACTAAGTAACAGAAATGGAATTATAACCCAGGTGTATCTGACTCCAAAGCATTTTTCACTATAAACCATCTTTGTTCAAGATTTAACTGTAATAATTAAACTCTTACACTTGAAGGTTTAAAAGAGTACCTAATAGTAAAATAAGACTAAAGCACACACAGAATTATTTATAAGAGGTGTATCTTTATAATACTCTTAATCACCAACATTTATTCATTAAAGAACTATACTACTAATCAAGGGATGATCAGGTTAAGATGACTACTGGTCATTAATGTTGGCAGTTGAGTTCTTTTCCTTAAGGTTTCCAGCCTTGTTTTTATGCATTTTGTTTGCCACATCAAAAAAAATAATTGCTTTGTACAAAAAGGATATAAAACAAAAACTTACTACTTAGAAACACATCACCCATATTCCACATACAAAGCTTTTTGTTATTGCACTACTAGAAGAGACTTAAGCATTTAACTTGGAATGCCTAGCAAGATCTTTTAAGCTGTTTTTCTTATCTTGTTCTTCAAAATTCGAAACTAGAAAATCCCACTTGACTAAAAAGGCAAAAAAAGGAGGTTGTCCCTTCTAGGGTTAACAGATGCTTTTTGTAAGATTTTAGGTAAGATTAACCTTTTGCTCACAACAGGACTGGTTATTTATTTATTTATTTTTTTTACTGTCTTTAACTCAGGTAAAAATCAATATACAGCGAGACAAAGGGCTCTAGAGGGTCTGGCTACACCAGCTTTTGGTTTGGCTCCTGCACAATTCTACAACATGCTGAGGCTGGGAAGGATTAGCCTGCTTGTGTTGAGTAAACCGATGATACTCAATAAACAGTTTCTGTTGTAAACCCCTTAGGACGTGCAAAGCCACACTAGTTGGCAATAGACCAGATAAGCTGCAGAACCAGCTGTAATCTCATTTAGACCTGAGCTGATCCTCCTGTCCTTTCATTCCACAGGATCAAAGCAAACCACTGAGGAGGCAGCTGTATTATAGCAGCTCTGCTTGCTGGATGCAGCAAACATTTCATAAATTCCACTCCTTGAAGCAAGTCTCTACCTAATCTACCCAGAGCTGGGACAATCAATGAATTTCTGAATTCATTAGACCGATTATTACAGGGTAACCATTTTTTCTTTGGAGAAATATAATGATTGTATGCCAACTTTACAAAGCAGCTGTTTCTGACCATCTCTTTCTTCTGGAAGGGGCTAAATTTTCCCCCACAATATTGAATAAAAGTGGTTTAAAAGTACTTAGCTCATTATATTTAATGCATATTAACAAGTAAACAATATATGATGCTAAATTTCTCCAGCAGTAGTAGCTGACTACCACTTAAAGGCAGCCAAACTTTAACAGTGGCCCATACTTTCCATGTTCAATGACACAGTGAGGAATGCCAAACCCTACTGTAACACAGCAGCATAGATTAACTGATGCTCCGAAAAAATTTATAGAAAAAGTTGTTGTTGTTTATTAAACAATATTATTTGGCATGTATTTGTATTTTTTTATAAAACAGGATAAAATTTTCAAAGTGTTCCAAACTGACATTGTTAAGTGTTTCAAAGTCAGTCAAGCATTTCATCCCCATGCCTCCCCTTCAATAGAACTGACATCTTAGTATCTATTACTAGGAATTCCTTTCAGTAGAAACCTAAATTTCAAGTTATGAATCTTCAGAAAATTTACCATCCTCATGGTTAAGATAACATTAACTGGATGTATAATGGACACTGAAGAGGCAGGTATTAGGCATGACATCACAGATCACTCTAAACAGTGAACGTGAAAGAAATGAAACCCAAAACAAATGCATAGAGCTATAAAACATTAGCATTTTAAAAGAATCAACTAGGGCTGGCCACAGTGGCTCATGCTTGTAATCCCAACACTTTGGGAGGCCAAGGCAGGAGGATCACTTGAGCCCAGGAGTTCGAGACTAGCCTGGGCAATAAGTGAGACCCAACCTCTAAAAATATTAGGCGGGGGTAGGGGGTGGGCATGGTGGCATGCACCTGTAGTCCCAGCTACTCGGGAGCCTGAAGTGAAAGGACCACTTGAGCCAGGGAGATTTAGGCTGCAGTGAGCCATGATCGTGCCATTGCACTCCAGCCTAGGCTATGAAGTGAGACTCAGTGTCAAAAAAAAAAAAAAAAAAATCAACTATAATTATAATTTAATACTGAATGTCAATTGAGAGGAGCCTTAGAGAACATCTAGCCAGAGAGCTGGCAATTTTTTTTTTTTTTTAATATTTGTGCTTTGAGGGCCATGTACAGTGTCTTTTTTTTTTTTTTTTTTTTTTTTGAGATGGAGTCTCACTCTGCTGCCCTGGCTGGAGTGCAATGGCGCGATCACAGCTCACTGCAAGCTCCGCCTCCCAGGTTCACACCATTCTCCTGCCTTAGCCTCCGGAGTAGCTGGGACTACAGGTGTGCGCCACCATGCCCAGCTAATTTTTTGTACTTTTAGTAGAGACGGGTTTTCACCATGTTAGCCAGGATGGTCTCAATCTCCTGACCTCGTGATCTGCCCATCTCGGCCTCCCAAAGTGCTGGGATTACAGGCATGAGCCACCATACTCGGCCACGTATTTTTTTTTTTAAGAGACAGGGTTAAGCATTTAAGTCTCCCTATGTTGCCCAGACTAAGTTGCTGTGCCTACAGATGCAATGTCTAGCTCACATATTCTTCCTGTTGTTTTACAATTCTTTAAAAATGTAAAAAATATCCTAAGTTCTATGGCTACACAATAATGGGCTATGGACAAGATCTGACCAACAGTGCCTTAGTTTTCCAATCCTTTCTAGTCTAAACTACTCATTTTTCAGATGACGCGACAAACTTTCAGGGACATGAATTGTTCTGCATAACTAAGCAGCAAGTGTCAGCATCAGAATTTAGATCTCCTGAGACCCACTGTGTCTCTCTACTGTTTCCTAACATTTAACCCAACACTACTTTTCTTAGAAAATGGTGTGAAGATTCTACTATAATTCAGAAACACTTGAAAAAGCAACAATGAAAAGCACAAAACAGTTTTAAGAATGCCTGTGACACGTCAATGCAGACAGCATGCAAAAATGACCACACATTAGCTGACCCAATCATTTCCAAGCTAACAAATGCTACATTTAATAATGATTCACCTTCCCTCCAATCCCTTCTTCAGACATAAAATGGTCCCATTTAAGATAATCACCTAATAACAGCAAAAGTGAGAAATATGGAAACCGTAACTCTTCTATTTGCAAAATCCAGATCTTTGTAATAATAACTCCACAATAGGAAACTGCAAAACTGTGTAATTATACTTTAATTGTATTGTGAGGCATGCATTAATCACAAAGTTTAAGCACCAAGGATAGAATTATAATAATTCTGTAAAACAAATTCCAGCTAGCTAAGTAGGTCAGAACCACTAACATGCAACAGGAGACCTCTGGGAATTTATCAGTTAATGGCTATTTATGTGCAAATGAGTGCCCTCCAACCCTCCAAAATCCTGTGTAGCTGAAGGGTATTTCTGTTAACCAGGAGCACTGCTTAACTGCAGAGGCATAAATTAAAGCATTTTATTGAAATGATTTTTAATTTCTCTACTTTCCTTTTCCACATTCCTTCCTACCTCTTTCAAGAAGCACAATTTATAGCACACATTTAACAAGGAAAAAAAAAAAAGGCTGCTGGAGAATATTCAAAACTGATTTCTCCTGAACCTCGCATGTACACACACACACACACACACACACACACTAGACCTTCAGTAAAATTAAAGGAAAACATGTCTCACATTAAATTTAAAAACTTCAATATAAGCACTAAATTAACATGCTTTTTATAATGAACTATATAATAAAACAAAATTCTGTTTTATGTTCTTATATTCTTATCCTACAGAAAACAAAGAAATTCAATGGTGTTTGTATCTATCATAATTCTTGTCCTAACAGTCAAACAATATACCTATCAAAAGTACACTTGGAGAAGTGGGGAAAGACTTTTTTGTTAAAAAGAAAGTCTCTAAGATGTTTTTTGAAAGGGGTAAAAAGAAAGGCAGAATACAAATTTTCAATACCATCTAAACATGGCTAAAAGAGACACTAAACGCCCATCATAAGGACCATATCAAATTTACTCAGTACAAAGTTGGCATAAAACTAAGTACTGTCCAATGTTTAGATTTTAGGTAGAATAACAGTTATCTAAAATTACTGTTTTTAATGATTTAATATAGTGGCAATTTAAAAGTTTTAAGTTATGTTAACACTACCTTGGAGCTCTTTCTTTCCCATCATTAACTGAAATAAAATATAACCTAACCCTAAGTTAAAGACAAGTAAAGGCCAAATTAATCATATAATATCTTTAAAATTATAATACTTTTTAATGTAGTGAAACTTCAGCACTTTAAGCTACAGTCAAAAAACTAAAATGTTCGTGAGAATTCTCTATTTTAAATATATAGGCAATACAACTTTGTGGTAAACTCTTTCTCAAAAAGATTTTAATGTTCCACTCATTTTTCCATAATTGAGTTTTCCAGAGTTGTAAGTAAATTATAGCAGAGCAAATGATTCTATCAAGTTTGCTTCTGATTAGTTTGCTCCATATCACTCCTGGATTCAGAGGGCAATAATTGAAGGAATCAAGTGCTCCTCTGGTCAATTGTGTTTGTATATGAAATAGGGAACAGAAGTCTCTGGCCTAATGCTGTGTGTTATACTTCAATGTACAAAACATGTAAGTCATAGGAATTAAGATATATTTCTGGCCTAAAAACATAATTTCATTACAACTATTTGCTTTAAAAAAAATTATCACATAAATGTAACCATCTGTTAAAGGTCATCACCCTATTTCAAAAGGGAACTCTCAGAAGCTGTAAAGCAAGGGCTCACTTGAGGCTCTCCTCTCTCTTTGGTCAGGGGAAATACTGTGGTCACACCAGTCTTCCAGTCACAGGAAGATTCTAAGTCAGATCTCTGTGTACCAAGCACTGCACTAAGGCTTAATTAACCCTGTTCAGAAAAAATAAGACCTTCTCTTAACTGAAGAGACAACAAATACATAGTCAACTTGCTGAAGGAGTACAATTAAGAGGTATGTCTCATATTTGGACTATCCCCTCCAAAATCTCTTAACATTACACATGAAAAGAACTATACAGGCATATGGAAATCATTGAAAATTTCCAACCTCTGCATTTATATGGCTGAAACTGAAGAAAAAATGAGATGATATTAAAGTGTTTTGATATCCTTAGGGTGATAAGGTCAAGAGCACCAATGAGAGAAATCTTGGACCACAGGAACAGTGAAACATTTTATCAGTAGTTAAACATAAGTAAAAGATGTATTTAAGTATAAGAAGCTATTAGGTTTGTCTAAGTCATAATTCCTAAAATTTCCTAATTACTGAAAATGTTGGTTAAATATTATTGCCTGACTACATACAGGACCAACCTGAGTCATCAGATCATTCCTTTCCTTTATTCCCTTTATCACTCAATCCCAGTCATGACTTCAAAACTAATGTACTCTCCTACCTTTATGTATTTTTAAAAATTACTTTGGCATTTTTGTATTATTAGCCTTTATTACCACAATGATTTCCTACCTAGTTTCCTTGCTTAAAGTTTGCTTAAAGTTCTCTTTCAATTCATTGGGCATATTACTGCCAGAACCATCTATATAATCACCATTCAACAGACACGTCATGCACTTTTAGCTGGATACCTAAGTGCTGAAGTTATAATTATGAATAAGACAAATTCCCGGCCCTCAATAAGTATCAGTCTAGTGAAGGAGATATTTCAAGTGGTAAATGTTCTGGGTGATACAAATATGAACAGGGCAAACAAGAAGGACAACACTTGCCTCTTGGGGAACCTGGAAACCCTTAATAGGGGAAACTGTATATTTCACTTACACCCGAAAGGAAATAAACTTTCCAGGCAGAAAAGAAATCAAGGAGCATTTCAAGCAGACGGATTAAGGGAAAGAAACAGGTAAGGTCTTTCTGTCAAGGATCTTATGATTCAGGGAGACAGAACAGCATATGAAGGGTATAAAGAACTGCTCTCATCACACCCCTCTACTTAAAACCTATAGTCTTTGATTTCCTCCTCACCCAGGTCTACACTCTGGCCCTAACTTCAAAGTCCTTCATAATCTGGTATAACTTTCTACTGGAGCATGTATCCTCTGCATTCATCAGACTAGTTTGTATCGCTACCTAAAAAACATTTAACCCGTCCCAACTTCCAGTTCTTAAGTCACTCTCCTGTTTTAGCATTTTTTTCCTCACTTCTCTTCTTCAACAACTTAGGTAATTGCCACTCACATCCAACCTCTTTCAAGAGGCTCTCCCTACCCCTCCTCCTTCCTTATCACAGGTATAAATCCTACTTCTTGAATACCCAGTTCAAAGGCCATCTATTTCAAAATATCTTTCCTAATCCTTTCTTTCCACCCTTTTTCTTCCTTCTCCTACTGATGAATCCCCCAAATATCTTCAAGTGTTCATTACTCATTAATTTTCACTTTACACTAGTTATACACATGTACGGTTTACTAAAAAATAATTTCCCCAAGAACAGAATCTAATCCTTATTTTTGCACACAAACCAAAAAGCATTTTGCACTAATAGCACTCAAAAGCGTTACTGAATTACTACAGTATCCCACTACTACTTTTTAATATTCTGTGTGCTATCATATACTCCAACTAGAGAATATCTTGTGCTTTTCTCATATCCTATCTAGTACCGGTAAGAGAGTAAGTCCATACAAAGCACCCAAGAAATACTTGCCTGGGTACTCTTCTACCTTCACTGACCTCAAGCTATCTACAATTACAACCAATTTATTAGTAATTTTCTCTTCAAATCTCTCCTCAACCCAAAGCAAAAGATAATGAGAACTCAAACTGCTTAAGGTCTCTGACATACAAAAGGCCCTAAGCAAATATGCTGTTTAGTAATCAACTATGACATAGTTATTATGTCTCTATCGAAAAAGATTTCTTGAATAACACAGCTATCTCAGTATTTTTTGACTAAATTATTTAACTAATACATATCTAAAAATCACTCAAAGTAAATATTTGATAATATTTGTAGCACTATAAATTGATGCTTAAGAAAAGTCTTTCCTATGTCATTCTTTTTTTGTAATTTTATTTTATGCATGCTACATAAAGTGAGAAAAAGCAGCTCTATATAAGCAGAAAACTAAATAATGGTAATTTAGTAAAATTTAATTTAATCGTGCTGGCAGTGTAAATCACATTTCCATTTCCTATATCAACTTTAAAGAGAAAAGCAAATTTGCTTAAAAATGTTAAAATATTCAATATATAATTGATATAATTAGAAACACTAAAGTAATCTAATCCAATCCTTTATCCTTCAGATGAAAGAAATAAAATATGGGGACCTGCCTGAGGTCCCAGAGTTAGAGCTGAATTAGGTACAAAAGGCTCTTTCCATCACTTCATATCCAACCTTTTGCTTTTTCCTAAAAATCTTATATATCCTTAAACCAGTAGTTCTTGCTCCTAAAATAAATGTAGATACTGTATTAATGAATAACCAAGGAGATATAAAAAGTGCTTAATATGCAAGATAATAAGTGAACAGAATCAGGTATCAATTTTAACCTATCCCCTTCACTTTGAATCTTTGTATTAAACATAAAGAAAAGAACTAAAGCAGACAACAGGGTGAAGAAAGGATTCTCTAACTTCAGGGTTTCCAAAATAAATGCCATAAAAAACAGTAAGAGAAAAGATTCATTTATGTATATGAAATTTAATCTGACTCATTCTCCCACAATCATTATTCCAATGAGAATAAATACATCTGTCCAACATGTAAACAAGTTCATATATTTAAGTTATTCAAGTTCCTGGTGCCCACTAGTACATTCTAAATGACAAATTCAGAACAGCATACCAAAAGACAAGACATGACTGTATTAGTCTATATAGAAATCATGGAAAGATTGAACTGTGTTGTATTAGTCCATATAGAAATCATGGAAAGACTGAACTGTGTTGAATCTCTAAATTAGGCAAAATACACTTGCCTTCTGGGAAACAAGGGATATTTTGGTTACACGTTCTCACAAAACTTCTACTGTAATATAATTCTGAAATAGCTGGACCATTAATTCAACCTAATATATGTAATTTCTTATATTCCAGAGGCCACTTACCATCTTCCATGAGTAGTCTGCAGAATGTAAGAGATTCCATATTTTGTATCAAATTAATGGTCCAACCATTTCAGAATTTAAAAAGGAATGACCATGGAGACATAAAAACTTGGTGGCATTAAATGGCATGATAGTATAAATGCTTTCTACTATACTATAAGCTCTACAAGTGCAGGAACATTTTCATGTACACAAGAGTACTTACTAGCACAGTTCTGGGACACAGAAGCATTCAAAAAACATTTGCTGAATTACATTGGAATTCCTCTTAGGAAACCACAATTAAAAAACTGTTAGCTGTTTACTTTTGTGTGTGTGTATATAATTTTTTAAGATTATGACATTTATATATAAAAATCCCTTAAAACTTTTACACATCCAAAAAAATACATAAAATGCAAATTTCAAGTGGGGCCAATATATTTGCAACATACGTAATGTATAGAAGATTGATGTATTTAATACAATTTTGTGGCAAATTAATATTAAAAGAAAAAATAGATTACTTAATAAGAGGGTATCAGAACAATCCACATTCTGTGTTATAGGCTTTTCAAAGCAAACATATCAAAAGATTTCTTCTTCTTGACTTAATCTTTCATTTCCCTAATGTAAAATCTTCATCTTCTAGTAGTATACCTCAAAAGTGTAATGCATTAGAAAAAAAGGAAGTTGCACAGCTCTATGTAGCATCCGTGTTGTTAGCATGTACATAAACTTTTTAAAATGCACAAAGCAATACTACATTGGTTTTAGAATCTATTTTTTCATATTAAAATATTCTTCTGACATCTATTTTTCTTCTATTCCCATTCTCTGACACCTAATGTCAGAAGTAGAAAAGTAGATGTCAGAAGAAAGAAATGCGGCAAAGTGTATCAATAACACAGTGCTATAATAACAATTCACTCAAGACCTTAAATATGTGTACAAGTAGCAAAGTTAATTATTTTTATTATTAATGGAATGTGTGAAAGATGTCAGGAAAAACTTTAAAAACTTTTGAACTGCTATCTAAATAAACACAAACTTCTAAAGACTTAAAATTCCTCCCTTCTAATATTTGCCACCTATCATCTATATGACATAGTGTAGCTGACTTACTGCCACATAATCTAATCACATGCTTTATTTTATGTAGGGCAATCTCAGAGAAAATTCTGTAAGTGACATGGAAGTTTTAAGAAAAGTCTCCAACATCTGTCTATTATTCTATCCATCACAGTGTATTTCATTTATTTGTTTATATGTCTACCTCACTACACTGTGGGGCACTTAAGAGCAGCATTCTGATTTTATGCATCTCTACTTTCTCCAATACCAGCACAAAGTCTGTCATGGCAGGTACTTGATGGGCACTCAATAAGTGTACTGGCTGGAAAATACAGACATTTCTGTTTCATGCATAAGCACAAAATTAATACAGCAGAATTTTCTCCAAAGACATAAGAAAAATAAAAGGGGACAGAGATGTGACCAAGAAAGCAATTTATGTACTTAAAGCATAAATAGTATTCTTTTCATGGAATACCTATCATTGTACTGATTCAGAATGGAGCCCTAAAAAATCTTAATTTAGAATGGAAAACTCTGTCTAATAAACCATTCTCTCACTTTACTTCTCTGAAACCAACACACAGTAATGATTATAAAAGCAATCACCGCTAGGTACTCTGTTAGACATGACATATATTACCTTTTTTATTCTCCAAATCAGCTCTTCAATACGTATCATTATACACATTTTACAGGTCAGAAAGACTGAGGTTCAAAGAAGTGACAAGACTTGTTGAAGACTACAGTGAAAGAGCAGAGTCAGGATTCAAATTCACATTTGTAACATTTTGAAAAATACAGTAATTTTTTTTTACTATAAGCAAAAGACTATTCTATGTATGATTCACACATACGAAATGACTGAAGTGAAAATTTGCTCGAATGGTTTTGACAATGGATATATTAATGACCCACAAAATTGAAATACAGTGAATATCCC
Source organism: Homo sapiens (assembly GCF_000001405.40). Lineage (NCBI taxonomy): Eukaryota > Metazoa > Chordata > Mammalia > Primates > Hominidae > Homo > Homo sapiens. The sequence goes on from NC_000006.12 coordinate 97,212,870, forward strand.
AGTTAGATAAGCTAAGCAAATCAAATTTTTAAGCAACTAGGATCTTGGAAACAAGAGCCAAGCCAACTAAAAACTATGTACAGTTCCTAAACATTCACTGGGTTAAATGTCGTTTGATTTATATACATGAAGTTTGAGATATTACACAGTTTTAAACAGTGCATGAGCACATTGTGTGTGTGTGTGCGTGTGTGTGTGTCTGTAGACAGAGTAACATGTCTTTGATATTTTTTTCTGTGAAGAAAATGAGGTTGCAGCCAGGCATGGTGGCTCACGCCTGTAATCCCAGCACTTTGGGAGGCCAAGGTGGGCAGATCATCTGAGGTCGGGAGTTCAAGACCAGCCTGACCAACATGGAAAAACCCCATCTCTACTAAAAATACAAAATTAGCCAGGCATGATGGCGCATGCCTGTGGTCCCAGCTACTCAGGAGGCTGAGGCAGGAGAATCACTTGAACACAGGAGGTGGAGGCTGTGGTGAGCCAAGATCACGCCATTGTACTCCAGCCTGGGCAACAAGAGCAAAACTCCACCTCAAAAAAAAAGAAAGAGGTTGTAGAAATTTCCATAGTATAATCCCACTTTTGTCCCCCCACCCTTCAAAATAAAACAGGTGGTAAAGGAGGCAGTGTAGATAAAAGGAGAAGCAATAGCAGCTGGGAAAAATATTCTCCAAAGTGTTCATAGTGGCTCCCTTTGCAGACGAAGGGTAGGGTTTAGGAAAAGAATGAGTTTCATCTTCTACTACATATAATTCTGTATTATTTACATTCTTTGCAAGATACATAAATTTGATAATATAAAAATGTAAAAGAGAGGCATTAAAAACTCTCTAGAGCCTTCAACTGCTTCAGAAATTACACTGAAAATGTTATTTGATATTTGATATTAATAGTAAGAAAAAAGGCTTAGAGAAATAGTGGGGTACCTATACTAACAAGCATAGAAAAAATACTAATACTGGAAAATAAAAGTTAATTTATTAATCCTTTTACCTATCATTTCACCACAGGCTCTAGAAGCCTCCTATCTGTTTTTCCATCTACAGAACTACAGCTTTGTTTTAAAAATCTGGAAAAAGTTAAAAAAAAATTTTCTAGTCTAAGGTTTTTCAACTAGTTAAAAATTTGCATCTGTTGGATATATGTAATTGGATCTTGAACATACGCTATGGCTCCCATTCATTTTTAAGAATTACATCTAAGGTTCTATTTTTTAAATCAAATCATTAAAAAAAATACCTTCTACACATAATCAAACAAGTCTATGAAGATCAAAGCCTCATTTACACTGCTGTGAATGGTACCCTTGAGGTTATGCAGCACACAATTTGTACAATACCCAAGAGCCCTGCCAAGACACACAGGAGCACATTCCCCACAGCCTTGTATCTAATGGTGAAAAATTCAAAATAGCAGAAGTTTTCACAAATAAGAAATAGTTAATCCACACCATGGAATATTATGGTATATCTACACAATGAACACCAATAATAATGTAGATGTCATCAATATGGAAAGTTGTTGATGATATAGTAAGCGAAGAAGCCAGCCCACTAAACAGCATTTAATCTTATTTTTGGTTTTAAAAAAGTATATGAATAGTAATGTGTAGAAGAATACAACAAAATATCAATAGTAGTTCTCTCAGCATGGTGAGTTAAATAACTTTTTAAAAAATCCATCTACATTTTCTAAGTTTAACACCAGAAATATATATAATAGCAGCCTAATATTGATTTCTTAAAAAATTACAGCTGTAGGAGTAAAATGAAACAAAGAGATCTTATATCATAAGATTTTACTATTTTTTTTGTTTTTTTTTTTTTTTCAAATCATTTGACTTATAGGAGAAACATTTTTCTTCCATCCCACCTCCTCCTTAAGAGAGAGATTTATGCAGCATAAGCCACATAATCGGGGCATTTTTTACTTTATATTTTTATCAGCTGCCTTTCAAACTGTGCTAACACTGTGGTTTCTGGATTTTAAAGATTAGTTGTTTGCACAGTCCTGTTACTGATGATGAAAAAAATACGTAATTAAGAGATCAACCAACCCAGTTGAGGCCCCCTGAAAGAATACTATTCCAGGAAGGGTGTACAAGGTTTCTTGCCCTGGGAGTTTCACTTCATAAATGGATTAATCCTTGGTTCACTAGAAAATTCTAGAACAATCAACTTCCCAATTTCTGATTTTTTTCACAATTAATCATGTTTTAAATATATATATATATATATATATATTTTTTTTTTGCATTGTTTCACTAGCGGCTGTTCACCACCAAAGAGCTCAAGATTCCTTGAAACCAACAAGGAGGATTTTTTCTTTATAATATTTTACTAGTTTCCAGGAAAACTGCCAGTAGGAGGCAGCAATGACTGGCTGTGGCAACAGCAGCGGCTCTGCTCTGCACAGTAGTTAGCTGCTGACTTCATTCTTCTGTCATTATATAAGCAAGATGACACTGTTCTCTAATCCAGCCAAAGCTGATAAGTACCATCAACCTGTCACTTCCTACATTTCAAATTCTAACATCACAGCATCAAAGAGTTTTTACATTTCGATTTCTTTTGCTGGCAGCAGCCGGTAGCCTCTCATTCTCCCACAGTGTTCTAATGCTGCATTTGCACACCGGGGTTACTCCCAGACTGAATAGCAGGTCATCCCCTGCTCACTGAGCTCATCTGTGGCCCATGTGCTAGGCAATTTAGATCCAATCAGCCCTTATTTAGCTCAAGAGTAATGAGCAGCATAGTGACACAGACTTAAGCCTGACCCTCAGGACACTGCTCATCAAGCAGTAAAACTGTGACAAAATCATTCATCTTCCACCCGCTGGCAAGAAATAATACTCGCACTCACTGTATTACTTTTCAAGATAAAAAAAAAAGTCCTGAATTTTCATGATGTGAGACATTAATTTGCAGAAAGCTGAATTCCCTTAAACCCCCCTGTTGCTATGAGCTCACCAGGGGGAAATAGGCCTTAGGAGACTGAAATGGAATAAAGAAAATTGCTCCAGCTTTCTTTTCATTTTAAATAAGCCTTAAATCTGACAAGAGATACCCTAAAGAGAGAAAAATATATATCTTGTAAGGTAAAGAAGAAACAATTGAAATTAAGAGTTTCAAATGCTAGTTTCACTCCTTGTTTGTCCTCAATTTCTTTAAAATATAAATAAAATTTCAAACAGCAGTTACTCACCTTTTTCCACAAGGCGGATGAAGAAAGCTAAGAACTGCTTCCCATAAACAATATGGTGGCAACAGTAAATTCATATCATTAAACATGTACTCTGATGTTTTCTACAAAACACATCTTAAAGAAAATAGCTTTAGGGTAACAGTAAGATGGTGAGAATAGCTAGAAGTATTTTAAAACTATAATGAATCTATTTTCTCCACAATTTATAGTGCCTTCTGAGGTTTTATTAATCCAAAAGTAATTAATTACAGGAATAATTAAGATTGGTTTCCTTCCCTCACTGTCATATTACATCATTAAAAAAAAAAGTCTGGTAGCTTATTCTAGTGCATTTATTGAATGTAAATGCTGAAATTTTACTTGCTTCCCAAGTACTTCCCTTTTATAACCAAAAGCCACAATGCCAGTTTATCATACTGAGTTTTTTTAAACTAGGTCAATGTACCAAAGTCACAATTTTAGGTGTTTTTAACCTATTCCATAGTCAGAGAAGAGTTAACTTTAACCAATCTGTCACGAATGGGATTTACCAGTCTTCAATATACTTACTATGACAGCCTGTCTTTGGTTTAAGAAACAGCACCGTGTGGTGCCATGAAAGAGCACAGTAGTGATGTCTTCCTACAAACTCATTGCTGAATTTCATCTAAAGCTTCAAAGATCTGGGTGGTCTAAACACCTATAGTGAACCACAGGGTTCAGACTAGGAATCACAGTGACATAAATAAGATTGGGAAAAGTAGCTTTTGCCTCATCCCATCATCTTTTGATTTATTGCCATTTGCTAAAGAGAAATATTCCAGTGGCTGGTAAAGAAAAATAATCATGGCACTTCTATTCCCTAAACAACTGAATTGATCCACTTTCAAAGGAATGAAATGCTTTCTTTACAGAGTATATTTATTTTTTCCTTCTCCTTTTATCCAATGTTCTTCACTCTAGTTTCTGTTTTACAGTGTTCTTTCTCCACCCTTATGTTTTCTCTTTTTCCTCTGTAATTATGAGAAGACAATTTTCTGGGTTTCATCCTAGAAAAATCATATTACTGGTAACTTCAAATTTTGGTAATAACTATAAATCAGAAATCATAAAGCTCTATTCTATTCTATGCTTCTTGAAAGTAGGAGTAATCTTGTAAAAAATCTAATATATTTTTATTTTTAATTCATTATTTATTTATTTTTTTGAGGCGGAGTTTCACTCTTGTTGCTCAGGCTGGAGTGCAATGGCGCATTCTCGGCTCACTGAAGTCTCCACCTCCCAGGTTCAAGCGATTCTCCTGCCTCAGCCTCCTCAGCCCTTGAGTAGCTGGGATTACAGGTGCCCACCACCACGCCCAGCTAATTTTTTGTATTTTTAGTAGAGGTGGGGTTTCGCCGTGTCGGCCAGGCTGGTCTCAAACTCCTGACCTCAGGTGATCTGCCTGCCTCAGACTCCCAAAGTGCTAGGATTACAGGTGTGAGCCACTGCACCCAGCCAAATAAAATCTAATTATAAAGCTTCATTCACCTCCCACGTTAATTATATAATTATTAGGAACTGGGGTTAAATATCAGCTCTGACCTAGATTACAACTACAGATTATAATCAGGGGCATAGCAAATAAAAAACCAGAAGACTAACAAGGGTGAGGAACGTTTGTGAAAGCTTTGATATCTTTTCTTTGTAGCTAGTATTTTGAATTTCTCACAGATGGACCCTGCTGTGATTCTATTTTCTTATGTTGTGCTGGAGTCACTCAATAGGCCCTTTCATTACAGAATCTTCGGTTCTGAGAAATTTTCTTAAATTGTTTTATTGATTATTTCCTTCATTCCATTTTCTAAGTTCCCTCTTCCAAATGCCTTCCTTCCACTCTAATCCCAATACAGACAATCTGCACTTGTAGATTCAAAGTGTTCCTGCAGACCCAGCCTTGAGAGACTGGTTCCGAAATGTCTCAAAAGGAAGGTAAAGGCTCAAAGGACCCACTTGCTGCACCTGTTTCCATAGTTCAGTGGAAAAAATTCAATGATAACTAGTGAATTAGAAAGATAAAATAATAATAGTCATCCAGAAAATACTAAGGAAAACACACTGAATTTTTCAATAACACCGAAAACCTTTCAACTGGGAAGAACAAACCTCCTATCATCCTCTAGAGGTCCCTTCTACCCATGGGTACTTAGAAGACAATAAACACAGAGATGAAATTCAGATTATGCATTAAATCCATATCCTGACTGCATGGATACTGTTGTCTGCTTGCATATGGACACTGGCAAGAATTGTTGGATAAGCATATAAAATTTCAGGACAAGTATAAACCATTAGCAAGTAGTATGAAATGGTGAAAAAGTGATGGTTTAAATAAATACAAGTTTCTTTGTCCTTCCTCTCTACCATCTTAGTCTTTCATGTAAAAAATACATGAGTGCATACTACATATGCTTCATGTGACTGGTTCACTGATATATCCTAAGTGCCTACTATCATAGTAGGCATTCAAAAATACTAGTTAAATTTGTTGAATAAATTGTTTTTCATGAATATGTCTCCCCTTTAGAAAATAATTACAACACAAGGTAAAAAACAATAAAGGACATTAGAGATTTAGTAACTATTCAGGAAATTCAACAGGAATAGAGATTATTCAAGACTGGTGTATTAGTCGGTTCTCACACTGCCATAAACACCCTAGACTGGGTAATTTATAAAGAAAAGAGGTTTAATTGACTCATAGTTCCCCATGGCCAGAGAGGCCTCAGGGAACCCAAAATCATGGAGGAAGGTGAAGGGGAAGCAAGGACCCCTGAATTGAATTTTTTATTTTATATTCACTAATTTAAACTGTCACACATAGCTAGTGCTACCCTACTGGACAGCAGAAATCTTCACATGACAGCAGGAGGAAGAGCTGCTAGCAGGGAAAATGCCAGATGCTTATAAAACCATCAGATCTCGTGAGAACTCACTCAATACTACAAGAACAGCATGTGGGAACCACCCCCATGATCCAATCACCTCTGTCCATTGACACATGGAGGATTATAGGTCTCTCCCTCGACACGTGGGGATTACAATTTGAGATAAGATTTGAGTGGGGACACAGAGCCAAACCATATCAACTGGTAACACACGGATAAGCATACATTTCTCTTGAAATGTACAAGCATGCATTTCAAGAGAAGCTTGACATGAAGCTTCTTGACATGAATATTATTCACAAAAAAATGAAGAAAAGATAAATGAAGAAAACCAACATGTATTGAATGTACTGAAAGCTTATTATGATTCATGTTCTGGACAGGTGCAGCATCAAAGTCAGTGCTATCCCTTGGCAAGTCTTTCTGCTGCTATCCACTACATTATCCACTAACTAAATATAGCTATTGAGGACTTAATATATAGCTGGTGTTACAGAACAGTTGAATTTTTTATTTTATATTCACTAATTTAAACTGTCACACATAGCTAGTGCTACCCTACTGGACAGCAGAAATCTAAGCAGATGTTCATGGAAATCCTATGAGGTGGATATTATTTTACAAAGATGCAGCTGAAACTTAGAAAAGATTAAGTAACTTCCTAAGATTGCACTGTTGGTAAATGAAAGAGGGTGATCTGAACTCAGGTTTACTGACCTTAAAGCTCCTGCTTTTTAATACAATGTTTTGACAGCAGCAACTATCAGGCACTACTAGAGGTTCCTTAAGAAGCAAAGGCAAAAAGCAAAACTTGCTGTGTGCATAAGTCTCCTGCCTGGAATACTGGCTCCTCCCATATATGATGCTCTTTAATTCCATCTCTACCTCTCATCAACATACTACTAACTTCTGAAAACACTTTCCATTCTCCTCAAATACCTCTAGTTTTTTCTTTTTCTATACTCTGCCATCTCACCCCTATGTCTACTATTACCAACACTGACCACTTCTGACTCTTGATTTTGACAATTACTTCCATTCCCCCAACTTAACCTTTTTCTAAGCAGTGACTCTCACATGACATGCTTATTCAGTCCTCAGCTTCAGCTCTGCTATACTGGTCATGTTCTGGCCTGAACCCTCAATTGGTTTTGACAAGAGGTCAAACTTGTCAACTTTGACCCTCAACTTCGTTGGACAAGAAGATATAAATAAAGGTAGAAAGACTTGGGGATTTCTTGAGAACTAGTAGCTCCATCTGACTAAAGGAGAATCACAAGAAAAAGTTACAGATTAAGGTAAAAGAAGACTGTGGATGGCTTTAAAGACCATGATAAGAAATGTGAAATTTTCTACTGTGTCTATTAGAGTGTCACTAAAAGTTTCTTTTTAATGTAATGAAATGTTCTAAAATAGTGGTGATGGGTACAAAACAACTATGAATATACTAAAAACCAATAAATTGTATGGTGTGTGAATTATATCTGAATAAAGCTAGCAAACTCTATGATATGTGAATTATATGTCAATAAAGCCATTAAAAAAGATAATCTGAGGAAGGAAGGCATTGGAGGCAGGGTGATTAGGCAAGTAGTATTAATGTTTTAAAAACAGAGGTAATGACATCTGTGAGAATAAAAGAAAGAAGATAAAAGGAATTCACCAAAGAAGACACACGCTCCCCACCTTACCAAAAGAATCAGCTGATTATAAAAAGAAAGGGTATACATATATGTCACATTTGTACCTTTAAAAATTACTTTTTCTACAGCAGCACTCAGTAACATAGCATTACAATTTCCAATGGGTCCACTGCAGTGAGGCAATGTTGTTTCCTACAATTCTTTGTTTTTAAAGAAAACGATTCATTACACACTAAAACAACAACAACAACAACAAAACTTGCTCAATGGTCACTATGCTAGAAGTATTATATTAAGAATGGGTAAAAAAACCATCCAAGATAAGACCCCTGACACACACACACACACACACACACACACACACACACACACACACACGTCCATTGATGTTGCCAGGCATAAAGCATAACGAAGAAATGATTATGAGTTCTTTTGAAAACAATACTTATGATGATAGCATTATCTAACATTCATTGAACACTTACTGATATGCCAGGCAATTTGCTAACTGCCTTATATTCATTATTGCATATAATTCCCAAAACATTCTAGTGAGGTAGGTGGTATTATCCTCATTTTACAAATAAGTAAGTCAAGATTTTGGCACATAAGTTTTTCCTCACATTATTTTAAATGAATCGCTTTATACTTATTTAAGGAAAACTCGTATCTATGTACCGGATTTAGATAGGGACTGAAAAAGTGACCCAAATACTAATTCCTATGCGTGAAAAACTGAGGAGATAATCTATGTTTCAGCAAAACACAAAAAAGTGGAACTCTGCAAAGCTAATATATTGAGTAGTTTATATTACTGCATGGGATTATAAAATATGTAATAGAAATACATTATGCCAAATTCAAGCCTGATAAAGAGTAAATAAGGTGAAAATACTAATTTATAGTATATATCTAAATACTCAGCTGAAAGATATAAAAAATATTTAACTAGGAAAAAAAGTTTTTCTTTACATATTTTATACATTCCTGAAATACTAAGATTTATACTGTATTCCCTTAGAGATACCCATGCTTTCTCTGAAGGAACGAAAAAAGGCAATGGATTACTCCTTGTAAGCAACAATATCTCTACTTGGTTTTTCAAATAAAAACTGGTAATAGATTTTATTACCATGAGGGCATACACATGTGTTTCCCAAAAATTATTAGAACACTGCCTCAAAATTTCCATAAAATTATATATAATGAAAGAGCAGACATTTTGAGCAAACTACAGAAATAACTCATTTGATTAAAAATTCTATCCAGTTTCAAATTTGTTTGTTGTAAACTGTCAATAATTAAAAGCTGTAACCCATTCATACTAATAGAACACCCAATAACAAAAGGAAGAAAAAGCTTGCATGCTGTCAAAAGTATCATTTCTATTTTTCCTGAAATATTATATAAATTATTTGGCATACAGCAGCCCCTCAAGTGAACAGTTCCTCTTGTACCTCCTTTTTTGCCTAGGCAATCCCCAGTTCTCTTACAGAAGCAAAGAAAAACCAAAAATCTTTGGGGAGAATAAATAATACCATACCAATAAAACTACTGAGCATAAAAATATTTGAAGAGAATAATAAACAGTTTTTCTCTACATGCTCATACACAAACACTTCAAATGTCAAAACAGTTATAAAACAAGCAGATGATCTTCTAGCCTTATAGGGAGAGAAAAAAAGGAATTTAAATATATATATATTTTCAAAATGTATTTTGAAGCCAGGGAAAATAACCTTAATCTTTGAAGAAGTTGTAGTTCAGCACACAGCATCTCAAAAAGGTAATTATCGCTTCTGAACTATTTCTTAGTCTCAGTATTTAGCATTTTAGGCAAGTTCTCAACTGCCTTTAGACATCTTTGAAACTAGTCTCTTGTTTAATACAAAATAGGATGTCAGTTGATCAATATCTATTTGGCTTAAATTCATAAGTCCACAACCTCCCTTAAGTGGTAGAACAAACAGGTACAAATCCTGAAAATTTATTGTTTCTTTTTAAACTCCAAATGGTATTTTCAGATGCCAAAAGGCATTTTGAAATCACTCACCCTTACTTCAGTAAAAATGAAAAAGGGGGATGGGGAGGGAGGGAGAATCTCATGAGGCCTTGTATGTCAAGTTTTTGCCCAGAGCTAATTTTCATAGCTGTGTTATAAAACCCCGAAAATGGAGGTTTATAATGGAAATGCTGACAGACCCTCAACTATAGCAGCATGAATGGATATAATTAAAGGAAAGCTTTTGGCTACACCTAACTCCACAAATGAAAGACTGCCATTTTTATATTAACCTCAAATAACAGCAAGTGAGAACTTAAAATGTGATTCCAGAGAGGTAATGTGAAATGTTAAAGATGACTGCTAAAACTATTTGACATTCGAAGTTTTAAACATAGGCATTTAGTTAACATAACCAAGTCAGTATTTTCACAATGCTACTTAATCAGCAATAAAGAATGCTCTGGTGAGCCATCAGCTCCAGTTAGCAGAAAGAAGCATATGAAGTTATTATTCCTAAACAGCCTAGAGGGAACTGCTTTTCTCTTTAATCAGTGATCATAGATCCTTCCTACCTATAATTTCTCTGTCATACAGTTGTAAAACTATTACCCAGTTCAACACACACACGCACACACTTTATACACACATTTTTGCAAGGACTGGTACCTATTCCCACCTGAATTTGAAAACAGAAGAGATGGCTAAGGTTTAAGTATTTCATTATTTCCCTTGTCAGAGATGCAGCCAGGAATAAATATCATCAATCTATATAATCCATCTTCCTTACCTAAACCCAAATTCAAATAACTTAGCTCTGCTCTTAACTAAAGGGGGCGGCGAGCTTATGCTTTAATTTTTAACAACTATCCAAAATGTTTTTGACCCGATAGTATTAACAGTATATGGCATATCTAAAAAACTACTATCAAAAAATCTTGAATGAAGTTCCAGATTTGGGGTTAAGAAATTAGGAATACATCTCCATAACTGAATACCTAAATAACTTTTTCTTGTTTCCTGTCCAACTCTTCTTCCCTTCTTTCTTTATTTTTAAGGTAAACAATCCTGAATGATCTCTTGGGCCCATCTCCAATAAATCCCAAACTAAAGGCTGGACTGCCTTGATAATATTTGCCTTGGAAATGCTAAAAACTGATGGGATAAAATGAACCTATCCAAGTCATAGTTCCTTTTATTACATACAGTAATCTGTTTGCAAATTACTAAAGTATGTTAGTACCTAAAATACAACAGCATTAATAAAGACTTGCATATTGCTGCACTATTTTTATTCATACATTGACCTTATACTTGTATCTGTTAAAACTGCTGATTTGGGCAATATAAGCTGAACATGATTTGATGGGTTTTTTATGGCAATTGTTTTCAATCATAGTTGACAGCATAAGACAAAACCAAAACAGACATTTGTGAAAGGAATCAAATGTTATCAACATAAACATCTGATCCTTTTTGCACAGGCTAATCCTGAAGGCCAATAGCACAACCCCCTATCACCTACTCACACTCCAGAGGACAGCAAACTACAAATTGAATCCAGGTGCAGTTACAAGAAACTCTTCCTATCAATGTAAACTTAACTTCACTTTATATAATTGTCATTCTTCATCATCCTTTTTTGATTTCTACCTCTGTACTTCTGAATAGTGTCCCACAGACTAACAGATACATCATAACTCACAATATATTTGCAAGAAATATTTTTCTAACACTCCTGAAATAACTTTGGCTTTAATGCTAAAGGATTTCTACTAAATTGAATTTAAGGAGCAAAAATTTGTTTTTATTGCAAGAAGTGAAATTTAGAGGGTTGGAATAGTACTAAAAAAATCAAAGACAAATTATTATAAATAAAATGTGATATACTTGTCTCCACACCTCTCAAATCATTTTTTCCAACTGACTCATTTAAAAAAAAAAAAAACTTACAAAATAAAAAGAAAGTAATCAAAAGTCCCCAATAAGCAACTACCCCTTTTTTTGTAGCAAAAACAAAATGTAAAAGCACTCAGAATTATACAAATAGTGGTAATAATTTCAGGTTTGCAAATAAGTTTGCAGATTTCATTCATTCATCTCTAATTTTTTTTTTTTTAATGTAGTGGTATGGTTAGTTTTGGTTTAGTTATCTGTAAACTTATAAAGACTGTATAAGCCATTCAGGTGATGGTTACACTAAAAGCCCAAATTTTACCACTACACAATATATGCATGTAACAAAACTGCACTTGTAACCTCTATACCTGTAAAAATAAAAAGAAAAGAAAATTAAGTAAGTTAATTAAAAATATAGTGTAAGAAGGCAGCTGTGGTATAGTTGGTTAAGAGTCTGAGTGCCAGTTCTGAAATTTAAATGTGTTATTTTAGATGAGCCACAAAAAAGTCTCTGTTTCCATTTTTTTCACCTATAAATAGGGATGGCAGGATTAGTAAAGAATAAAGAAGACAGTATTTATAAGCATTAACTCTTTCAAGAATGTAAGAATTATTCTTGTGTTTCTAGTTACTATTTTTAAAGAATTACATACCAAGAAAAGTTCCAGTTAGGAGATTCAAGATAAGATGAAGTTGGTGAATGAATGTGAAATAGAGAAAAGAGTTCCTCTCTTTTTTGCTTTCTTTGTATTTTTAATGTCTATCCAGCCTTCAAATTAAGTCTAATACGCCTATTACCAAGCTTCAACTGACATTGTTAACAAACTTCTGTGTTTCATTTCTTACCTTTTTTTTTTTCTTTTTGAGACGGAGTCGTGCAGTGGCGTGATCTCGGCTTACTGCAACCACCACCTCCCGGGTTCAAGCAATTGTCCTACCTCAGCCTCCTGAGTATCTGGGATTACAGGCACACACCACCATGCCCATAACTTTTGTATTTTTAGTAGTGACGGCGTTTCACCATGTTGGCCAGGCTGGTCTCGAAGTTTTTTTTTTTTTCTTTTGAGACCCAGTCTCGCTCTGTCACACAGGCTGGAGTGCAGTGGCACGATCTCGGCTCACTGCAAGCTCCGCCTCCCGGGTTCAGGCCATTCTCCTGACTCAGCCTCTCGAGTAGCTGGGACTACAGGCACCCGCCACCACGCCCGATTAATTTTTTGTATTTGTAGTAGAGACGGGGTTTCACCCTGTTAGCCAGGATGGTCTCATCTCCTGACCTCGTGATCCGCCCACCTCGGCCTCCCAAAGTGCTGGGATTATAGGCATAAGCCACCACGCCCAGCCTTATTTCTTATCTTAGAATGCTTTTCTAAATACACTCCATACAATGATCTAAAAATGAGAATGGAAGCTTTTTCATACATTATCAGTGAGAGTAAAAACTGGTACAATGGGTTTTTTTGGTATGAAATTTGGTAACATCTATTCACATTTAAAATGCACATACACCAATTCATTCTTAAGAATTAATCTATAGGTATACTTCCACAAGTACACAGAAATACATTTACAAAGATGTTAAATAAACGTAAACTGGTAAACAATACACATTTCCATTATTAGCAACTGGATAAAGTTTGGCACATCTATATAATGAGACAGTAAATAGTCATTTAACAGAATTAGGTAGGTTTTCATGTTTTAACATGAAAAGCTGTTCAGGAAATATTAAATAAAACAAGGAATTTGCAAAACAAAGATCATCTATTTTGTGTTTTAAATATACGGCTGGGCACAGTGGCTCATGCCTGTAATCCCAGCATTTTGGGAGGCCGAGGCGGGTGGATCACCTGAGGTCAGGAATTCGAGACCAGCCTGGCCAACATGGTGAAATCCTGCTTCTATTAAAACATAAAAATTAGCTGTGCGTGGTAGTGTGTGCCTGTAATCCCAGCTACTCAGGATGCTGAGGCAGGAGAATTGCTTGAGCCCAGGAGGCGGAGGTTGCAGTGAGCCGAGATGGCGCCACTGCACTCCAGCTCGGGTGCACAGAGTGAAACTCCGTCTCAAAATATATATGTATATATTCTATATACACATATGTGTATATCCTATACATTCTTTATACATTCTTTATACATATATGTATATATATAAAAATACATATATAGTGTGTGTATATATATGTATGTAGGTAGGAAGGAGATATCTGGAAGGTTCTATAGAAACAATTTTATTTCTATGGATTAGAACTAGAGCAATGTATCTCAACCTTAGCACTGCTGAAGATGGGCGACATAATTCTTTGTTGTAGGAGTTGTCTTGAGCACTGTAGAGTGTTTAGCAGCATTTCTGACCTCACCAGTGCTGTCCCCCTAGTTGTGACAACCAAAAATGTCTCCAGGCATCCAAATGTTCCCTGGGGGACAACTCACTCCCAGTTGAGAACTACTGAACTAGAGAATGAAGAAGTGAAGCTGAGGAGACAGATTTACTTGTCACTTTATATCTCTTTTGTCCCCCATTTGTAAAATGATAATATATTACACAAACAATATAAAGATAATTTTAACAAAAACCAAAAAGATTGCCAGAAATTTTTAATTAACACATTAAATTTAAAGTACTTGTAGGATACGAACCTATGAGGAAAAAAAAAACTATGTAAGAAGCAATATAATTGTTAAAAAGAATTAAAAAGGACTTATCTATTTTCAGAAAAGGCAGAAAGATATATGGATTCTGCTACTTTTTTCCCCACGACTGCCTCTTCTGAAGATGCCCATACTCTTTCTTCCTTTCTTATTCCTATGCTCTGACATCTTTTGGGGACTATAGTTCTCCATGACCAGGATGGCTTAGACCAACACCCTCCTCTTCCTTCTTGTTTTGTATATTCAGACAGATATATAGAGACAAACCAAAACTGATATTGGAAACATAAAAATTTCTAATTTTCCCAAGAAGCACAGGGAATCACTTAACATTTATTTAAAAACTGAAGAAATAAAACAAAGTTGGCATTTGGAAGAAGTATAAAACCCGCCATGAAAACACGGCATAGAATAGAGAAAATCAAGCTAGTAATAGAAATAAATTTGATAATAAATAAATTCCCAAAATTTGGAAATCTTGCCAAGCTTAGCACCTCTGAAAAACAGATGCAACATTTGTAATATGATATTAGGAGGAGGGAAGCAGTCTGTTTATCTTTGGACATGATTTCAAATACAATCATTTTCTGTGACAGTGAGTAACCATACTGAGTGGTAGTATTTAACTTCTTAAGAACATGTACTTCAAAGGTAAAACTGCTATGTGAAAAGTGCCTAAAGGCAATAAATATCATAACCATTGTTCTTATCCACATCAAGTTTGTGTCTGAGTGTATTTAACATATCTGCATAATTTAAGTGGATCTGAAAAACAGTAAGTTTTGTATAGGTGATTGGTGTTATTAATAGAATTATCTATGTTAATTTCAGAGCAAACTGGTTTATTTCAAAGCATTTGATGCAGCTAAGGCTATGACTTTGCTGCAAAAATTTAAAGAAAGTCACTTTTAAAAAATGGTGTAATGTGACCAAAACTTCCTTATGGGCACAAAATTACAAATGCTTCAGTAAAAGCCACCTCAGACATGAGCTCATGATCTTGCTCAGAATATCTGTAACGTATCTCTGGGTAATAATACACTTTTCTGAGAGGTAGCAGGGGAAGGAAGGGCTAAGAGAAAGCATGGCTCTCAGACTGCACCAGAGCTGCTCTTGACTTTAGTTCTGCATCTTGTGTTTGCATATAAGCTTTCTTTTGAAAAGCTATTGTTTGAAAAACAGCTTGAAAACTACAGGTTGAGCCTCACTAATCTGAAAATTCAAAATCCAAAATGCCCCAAAATTCAAAACTTTTTGAGTGCCAACATGACACTACAAGTGGAAAATTGTATCTGGCCTCATGGGATGGGTTGCAGTCAAAACTTTGTTTCATGCACAAAATTATTCAAAATGTTGCATAAAATTACATTCAGCCTGTGTATAAGATGTATGTGAAACATAACTGAATTTTATGTTTAGACTTGGGTCCCCTCCTCAAAATATCTCATTATGCATATGCAAATATTCCAAAATCTAAACAAATCCAAAATCCAAAACACTTCTAGTCCCAAGCTTTTCATATAATAGCATTTTAGTACACGGATATATTCAACCTGTACTGATTTATGCCCATGTAGTAGAAAACTAAATCCTTCCTCTACATTTGGATTTCATGTGTATTTGTATATATGCATATATATAACTTTAATATAAAATCCACATAAGTAATTATATAAAACAAATCATAAATTAGCATACAACTGAAAACCATACCTGATTCTGGCCAGAACAGCTTGTAGGAAGCTCAATACTGTCCTAAGTTCAGATTCTCGACATGCTCGCAGAAGCATACTAAATCCATCATTAAGCAGTTTTTCATGGGAAGGATACAAGCAATAGCTGGTCTCAAACACTTCTTGAACACCATCAATGTATATGGAAAGAAGGGTCCAGATAGTCTGTCTCTGTACCATTTCCTCATTCTTAGACACCAAGAATTCCTTTGCTTTCTCCCGGAAAGCACATGAAAATTTCTCAGCCAAAACACCAATGTCCAGATTTTTCTGGGCATACATCAAGAGGAAGGCCATGTGACCCTTCCAAATGAGGGCTCTCTGAGACGTTACAAAAGCAGGCTTGAGGAAATTCAGGAGGTCTAAAACATGACTTGCAACATCTTCTACCTCTGCAACAGCTGCTAACAGTAGAAAAAGGCTAAAAAAGTTCTGTAGACCAACTTCAGTTAGTTCTTCCATTCTTTTTTGATGGAATTTTGAATATATTCTGTAAAACATTAAAAAATGCTTTAATAAAATTGTTTCATTCACAAAAATCTGTATCTCTTAAAAGAAAATTTGTTTCAATACTCATAACAATCTCATTAAATTTTAAGCTAATTCTTTATTTTGATGCTGCCTTGTCACTTTTTTTACTTAGAAAACACATAATGGCCCTACCTTGAAATTTCCCAATGATGCAGCAAATCACCTGTAAGTGAATCAAAGGATTCAATGGCTTTCCCCAAAGGAAAGTAGAAATGTTTTCATATAGTACATGGCTTTTCCTTTTATTCAAGTCCCCCATCACCTTTCTTTTCTTATTTTGATTAGTAAATAAGAAAGAATATATAATCTTTTAAATACAATTTGATATGCTTTTACAGAGATCTTAACAGGACAATTTTATGTAACAATTTTCCTTAAACTCTTTTCTCCCTGCACCCCCTCACGAACACTTGCTCTTATTTTACTTATACCTTAAGACAATGCAAGGCGTTAGAAAAATTCTTTGTAGCCATCTGCAAAGAACTATGCATTTAAAAATCTCCCATCAATACTATTTAATACAATAGTTGACAAAATAGTACAATAGATAATATAGTTAATAGTTGACATTCTTTTCTTTCATCAATTAAGGGGTTAGAATTGAAAACAATTCATCTGAATTCCTACTTACGAATTAAGTTGTTGTTGGTTTTTTGTTTTTTGTTTTTTTGAGACGGAGTCTCACTCTGTTGCCCAGGCTGGAGTACAGTGGCGCAATTTAGGCTCACTGCAGCCTCCACCTCCCAGTTTCAAGTTATTCTCCTGCCCCAGCCTCCTGAGTAGCTGGGATTGCAGGCACGCACCACCACGCTTGGCTATTTTTTTTTTTTTTTTTTTTTTAGTAGAGACAGAATTTCACCATGTTGTCCAGGCTGGTCTCAAACTCCTGATCTCAAGTGATACGCCCACCTCAGCCTCCCAAAATGCTGGGATTACAGGTGTGAGCCACCACACCTGGCCTTAAGTTTTGCAACTTCTATAACTGGCTTATTCAGGACAGAAATGAGTAATGCTCATGAGAGTTAAATGTTTATAAATACTTAAAAGCTGACAAACTCTTAAAAGTAAAAATCTGTTTAATTATCTTTGTATTGTCTACTACTATCCCCACTATAGTGCTTGACATATAGTATGTGTCTAATAGACTTGTTATTGAATAAACTCCAATGACTTCTTTTAGCCATAAAGTTCTGAGTATTATGTCTTCCATAAAATTGCTTAAGATTCAAAAACAAACTGTCAAATAGAACAAAATAAAAAAAAACTGTTTAAGCCATGTGATTCTTGTAGATTTAATAAAGAAGCTGGCATTTAAAACAGTATATGACAAATGAAATATCCAAACCATATCACCATACCCTTATAAGAATTACTCACTGTGGGACTCAAACAGGAATTTCATTAAGTGATTCTTGAGAAGTCCCTACCTAGTATTCTCTTCCCTGAGAGGTCTCAACAAATAATCTGAGCAAGTGGTAGATGGTGGTGTACTGCACAAAGAAGGCTAAGAAAAGAGCTAATATAGGCAAAGGAAGTAGAAAAAAGAAAGACAATTTAAAAGTATACTCATTGAACAAGCAAAACTCTCAAAAGAGACAGAGAAAACAATGGACTAATGTGACCAAAGTTTATTTTATCAGAAATGAAAACAGCATAGTTCCCAAATGAGAACATTAGTTATCTGGTTCTACTATACTGTGGTCAGTTCTCATTTAAAAAACAAAACAAACCAAAAAAACCAGTGCTTGTGAACCGCTGGGCTCAAAGAACACAAAAGTTTTATATGTTGAAACTATTACCTACCAACGTACAACTTGAAGATGTTTGTTTCTATCACTTTTAATCAAATGCATATAATGGATTACCTAGTAACATTATAACTAATTAAGACTCTAATCCCAAGTAAACATAACAAAATACAAATAGTAACACCTATCCAAAGATATCAGTGCACACTCATGACAGAAGATACTGCATATACCTTCCTTTGACTTGTTTCCAAGGATGAGGGCCATTGCTCTTCATTGCTTTTTTAACAACTTTTGCCAGAATACAAAGAAAAATAGTATAACTACTGCTGGATTTATATAGTTCCTGATCTTGTTTATCGCAACAGCAAGTCTTCACCATTTCAAGCATAGACAAGGGTGACTTCATGGTATTAGCAAGGCCTTTAAAAGGAAGCCAAGAAATACTGAAGGAACTATTCTAAAAGGGGGGAAAAAAAAGATAGAAAACAATTATTAGTCTCTTAGTAAATAAAATGGTAAGCTGCAAATCCCAGTTAGTTGGTTCATCAAAAGTCTGACTCATCTTAATCACAAAAACTACATGAACACGATTCTCTAAAATAAAAATTCCATGAAAGTACAGAGCATCAAGAGGTGTCCAAATTTTGGATTGTCCCCCAAATGTGTTTTTAACAGTTGATTTGTCCAAATTAGGATACAAACAAGATCCATACATTGCATTCAGTGATATGCATGGCACTGTGGGCTCTTTTATTCTTTAAGTTTCCCAATGTTTTTGTTATACCACTTGTTTTTAATATCAGGTCATTGGTTGTATAAAATTTCCCATGTTCTAAATTTAGCTGCTTGTATGGCTCTAGTGTTACTTAATCTTTTTTCCCTTCCCTTTTCTGTAAATTGGTGGCTATATCTAGAGGTTTCATCAGATTTATGTTGACTTTTTTGACAAGAATCTTTCATCAGTAGTACTAAGTAGTTCCTATTGCATTTAGTAAAAAGGCACATAAGTTCTGACTTTTTGTGATGTTAAAACTGGTCAGGTTATCAGCCTGGTCCACCCATTTTAGTGGTCCCACAAGCCTTTTACTTAACAGTTTTCGTAGCATTGATGATCATTGCCCAGATGCCTTATTTCATTAAATGTACAAAATGGTGACTTCTAATTCTATCACGTTTTCTTAATTAACTCATCAGAAATCTGATTACTCTAAAATATAGTTTGTATTTTCTTTACAGTTTTCAGAATTAGGTGTTTCTTTTTTCAGAGTAACTTTTTACAAAGAAGCATAAACTCAGAGATTTAAACATATTTAATATGTTTTAATCTATTGCAGTCATTATTCTTTCTTATGCTCAAATTTTCCCATTTTCTGGGCAATGGACATTCCTTCAGGTTGGCTCCTGTGTTCTTCTGACATGACTCTAGCTTAATTTGATACCTTTCCTGCTTTCTGGTATGACAAGACACCCTAGACTCACCCTGGACTCTTCCTGCCTCAAGACTACAATCAGTCATTTCTCCAACTAGCCTAAAATTATGCTTCAGAGAAGGGCATTTTTCTAATTTTTTAATAAGCTCCATTATCCACAAATCCAAACATTATTTACTTGTAAATCTTCCATTACCATTTTCTATTTTGATTGAGAGGTTCACTAATTATTTACCCCAAACCCAAAACATCCCAAATTTCCTTTCTATATACAAAGTATAAATCCTTTAAATCTACCTTTAAATTTTCAATCTTCCAAACTCATCCTCTCCTTTCTAAATATATTGTTCCTATTTCAGTTCTCAGCCATAGTATCATTTGCTCATACAACTACAATAAACCACTAAGTTGTCTGTACCCAATTCATTTACACCACTTTCAGAAAAAAAAAAAAAGCTTTCTCAAACACATACCTAAGTCACATCCTCGCTATTTAGTGTCTCCTGAATAAACCAGAATTAACTGTACATTATCTTCAACCCTTCATAGCCTAGCCCCAGACTGCCTTCTCTAGTCTCCTATCTTCGGTCTCTCCATAGTTATCCGAGGCCTATAATTCAGAACTATTTAACATGGTAGGAACAGACCATGCTTTTTCATACCTCCATGTATTTGTCCATGTTGTTCATTCTGCCTGGATCCCTTTTTCTTCTGTTAGAAAATTCTACTCATTCCCAAAGCCAAGTTCAAAAATTATGACCTCATGAAGTCTTCCACAAATACAGATACCGGGTTAGATACCCTCTCCTCTGGAGTTCCACAATTATAACTTTTTTCCCACAATGTATGTATACCCACCCACTAGTAGCCTATAAGCTACTCAAATGCCAGGATTGTTTCTTACTCAGGACAGCAGTGCCTGTTCAATGTGTCATGAGCAATCAATTATTATTAGAAACATTTATAAATGAAGATTTTATAAATATCTGATACATTTTAGCTACTTTGTTTACCCTTGCTCTCAAGAGAAAAAGGATACCAAATGCTGTTTCCCTTATGACAAAGCTCTACAATGTTAAAGATAAAACTATTCACGAGCTACTCCAATCTACTCTGAAAAAAATTAACTTTTTAAGAAAAATCCATAACTATTCATAATTAAACCATAAAGACATTCCTCAAATATGTACAAATTTTTAAAATTCCTGGAGCAAATTCCTATTCTATTCACTCACCAGGTTCTTACTATAATATTCCCATAAAATGGTAACAATTGCAATGTTTGGCTCCCAGAAATCACAAAGTGTCAAACAACAGTGAAGATACATTCGTAATTGTTCTTCTAGAATGACACCCTAAAAAATAAACTGAAGTTATGAGAAGGTAAATGGGCTCTGGCAATATAAACATTTTCACTTGATATTGTGCTGTATATAACCTGCAGCTAAAAAGAAAATAAATATGTGTCACCCAATCATACCCATTCTCATATGCAGACTAGGTCTAAATCAACACAACACATACTTCCAAAAACATGTTTTAAACACCATTAACACATTCAGATAACAGAAGTCACATAACTCGACTTTTAATTCAATTATTTAAAAATTACAGGTGTTTCATAATTGAATGGTACTGGAAACCCAGAAACCAGAAAAGGAACCCAAACCAAAAAGAAGTGGCAAAAATGATGTAACGATTAAGATGTACACAAATCCAGAGTGCTTGGTCATACTTAAGTACTTGGTCAAATCTTTTTATAGGATTATAGGAGTTGTTCTTTCTAAAACCAAAGGATTGTCAGAGTACATCTATTTTAACCTTTTAGGAGATAACAGGAGGAAAAGGAAGTAGAAAAAACATAGATGCTTTTTCTATGACGATATAACCATGCATATATTTTTTAAATAACACACTGAATTCCAATCATTCAACAATTGTATTTAAAACTTACCACATACTAGGCACTGTTTTAACGTACTAGGCATAGGACAACAAGTAAGTCAGAGATAGCACATGTACTGGTAGAGCTTACATTTTTGGAAAGAAAAGAAAAGGACACTAAAACAAGATAAATTTGAACAGAAGTAACTGCTGTGAAAATGAAACAAAGCAAAGTAATGTGGCAAAGTAATTGGTAAAGGATAAGCATCATTATTTTATTAGCTGCTATGAATGGAAAAGCCTTTTGAAGGGCTGCAATTGAACTACATGATTAAATGAAAGTCAATAAAGACTTGGAAGAAAAACATTCAAGGCAGAGAAAATGAGTGGAAAGTTCCTCAATTATTAGTAGGCTTGGTATTATAAAATTCTAGACAGGAAGACATCATATCTCATTTGAGGCTTTACTGGTCTTGGTAAGAAATTTGGATTGTATTTTAAATATGTTGGGAAGCTACTGGAAAAGAGTAAGCACAGAAGTGACATGATGTGATTGTTTCAAAAACACTGCTCTGGATTATACATAAAGAGTGAATAGAGGGGTTAAGAAGAGATGCAGGGAGACCAGGTAGGAGGCGACTGTGCGAAACTATAAGACTGAAACTTTAAAGATATGTTTGGAAAAAGATTCAGTGGGATTTGCTGGTAAATTACATTAAAGTATGAAAGAAAGAAGTTTCAGGTTTTTGCATAAGGAAATAGGTCAATGGTGCTATTTCCTGAAATGGCAAAGACTAAAGGAAGAACTTATGAGGTGAGTGTCCAGGGTATACAAGTAGAGCTATTAAGCAGATAATCTGACCTATGGGTCTAGAGTTAAGGGATTAAAGTCAGAGTTGTTGACATAAATTTGGGTCAATGATAAAAGGATCCATAACTGAGAGCCATTTGATATTATAACATTTTCATATGAAGCAAGTGGAGAATATATGCAAAAACAAGTGGTCAATGAAGTAAAAAGGAAACCAGGCATTGCGGATGCCAAGAGAAGTACTTCAGAAAAACGACAATGGTGAACAGGATTGACCTCTGCTCAGAGGTTACAAAAAGAAGAAATAAGAACCCTTGGAAGAAACAATATGGAAGTCATTGACGGCCTTCCCAGAGCAGTTTGGGGCTTGATGAAGACTATGATGAAGAAGCTCAACTATGGATGGCTGAGGACATCTAGGAGGTGAGGAAGTAAATATTTAAGTGAAAATACACAAACAATAAAGTCCTTGAACAGGTGAGAAGAGTTAAGATCCAGTGCACGAGGGAAGGAATTAGCTCTTGATAGAAAGTGACACTTCTAACATAAAAGAAGAATAGTCTGAGAGGTTGAATATGAAGCAGATGTGTTGGGAGATTTAAAGCTGTAAAGATAGGAATTCTTACCTGACCAATTCTATTTTTCAATGATTTATGAGGCAAGATGTTAACCCGAATGGATTGGAGAAGAGTACGTATTAAATTTTATGTCAAAGAGAAGTTCCGGGCCAGGCACGGTGGTTCACACCTGTAATCCCAGCACTTTGGGAGACCGAGCTGGGTGGATCACCTGAGGTCAGGAGTTTAAGACCAGCCTGGCCAACATGGCGAAACCCCATCTCTACTAAAAAATACAAAAATTAGCTGGACGAGATGGCAGGCACCTATAATCCCAGCTACTCGGGAGGCCAAAGCAGGAAAATCGCTTGAACCCGGGAGGAGCCAGACGTTGCAGTGAGCCGAGACTGCCATTGCACTGGGAGACAGAGTGACACTCTTTCTCCAAAAAAAAAAAAAAAAAAAAGAGAAGTTCTGAAGTAAGTCATTAAGTCATTTTGGAGAGCAGAAAAGCAAACATTCTAGAGCTGATGGCCATTTGAGATTATGATCAACAATTTAAAGTCAATCATCTTAGTAAAAATGAATGTATGATTTTCTCTCACAATATTCAGTTGTGGGTGGTGTGGGAGATAGGAGAGAAAGAATGGCTTTTTCATGGTTAAAACAAGTTAAGGGCTATGGAATTAAAGATGTTTCTTATGGAGTAATGCCCAAATGTAATATGCCTAAATTTGATTGTTCAAAATTAAGATAAGACATTCTTTTAAAAAGGACTAAAGCAGAGATTAAGGCCGGGCACGGTGGCTCACACCTGTAATCCCAGCACTTTGGGAGGCCAAGGAGGGCAGATCACCAGGTCAGGAGATCGAGACCATCCTGGCTAACACGGTGAAACCCCGTCTCTACTAAAAATACAAAAATTTAGCTGGTCATGGTGGCGGGTGCCTGTAGTCCCAGCTACTCAGAAGGCTGAGGTAGGAGAATGGCAAGAACCTGGGAGGCGAAGCTTGCAGTGAGCCGAAATAGCGCTACTGCACTCCAGCCTGGGTGACAGAGCGAGACTCCGCCTCAGAAAAAAAAAAAAAGGACTAAAGCAGAGATTAGAAGCAGGCATATTCATTTAATGGACTTATTGGAATATTCATTAAAAATAATTGGTTGTGTATATTGTTTAAGAAACAAAGTGAGGAAATGGAAGAGGACAGAAAAATGAAAAGGTCAATGGTAACGGGCAAAATGAAAAGAAAAATGAAAAGTGAAAAGCTGTAGAGTATAACCATGGGAGGAGGTAGATAAGGCAAGTAAAAGAAAATCTAATAAGAAGTGAGGCTATTAAGAAATTGAAAGGACAGTTCGATTATACCCAATAACGTCAGGGTCACTAGCAGAAATAGTGTACAGGTAAAGAAGAACACAGTGATCTTGGTACAAAACCTTTTCAATGAATGAAGAGTGACCCAAATATGGGTAAAAAGCAGCAATGCACAATTTTTTTTGGACAAGGCCTTAACTCTTTATTCATTATTTAAAATACACTTCAAACTACAAGTTCTCCAGAAAACTTCCTAACTCCCTTACTAGATAAGTGGCCTTTCTTTACGCTTTTATGGCACACTAGGCATACCTACATCATCATACTTACCTTGTTAAGTTTAATGTTTATCTGCTTTCAAGTGTCTAAGAGCTCTCTGAAAGATAGAATAATACCCACATGGTATATACGCCACGGTGCCTGTTTCACCAAAGAGCCTCCATAAATGATTCATGAACAAAACTGAGATCTGGGTTCTGATGCTTCTTCCCAACAAGTAGAGTTATGGCTTAGGGAAAGACATTTAGCTTCTCTAATAAACAATTAAGCTTATTTAACCAAAGAAGGCAAGGTTCTGTCCATCACTAATATCCTCTAATTTTATTATGAAAATATTAAACTAGATCCAGGTTCATATTGATTCCTATGGCACATTACTGAATTGAAATAAAGCATACTAATTTTATCATGTTTATAAGGTAAAAAAGTAGGTTATGTTATCAAAGTTCACACTGAAGGGTTTTATTTAACATCTGAAATTCATTTTACCATGTAAAATCCAGAAAAACATATTTAAACTATAAAAAATATGCAAAGTTTGGGAAAAGCAAAAGTATGAATGCTAGGTACCAAACAGTGGAGTTAAACATATGAAAATTCAAATCTCAGTTCTGCCATTTCCTAAGCTAGCTGTGTGAACCTGGACAAGTTCTTCAAACATTCTGGGCCTCAGTCTGTAAAAGTATAAAACGGAAACAGAAATATCACTACACACGACTGTCGTAAGTATTAAGTGAAGGTATGTGCAGTAAGTGTTAAGCAGAGTGCTTGCACAGGGATAGCTATCGTTTTGTTATCTGCAGGAGAGAAATGTACTTTAGACCAATGTTACTCTTCTGATGATCAAATAATAAATGCAACAGGGTCATAGTATTGTTCCTTAAGATGATACATATCAATTTTGTCAGTTTTAAGCAAACCCTACCAGAGATTTGATTAAAGACATGTAATTCCATGCCCTCTGATTAAAGATTGTTTTTAGTAAGCCATAAGGCCTGTGGGCCTCTTTTCCACAAAGCCTTAAACCTGACTGGCTCAAGGAGTACTACGCATCTCCCACATTTTCAGAAGCCCTTATGGGCTCTCAGCGTGTCTCATCTCGTGTGTGTGTGTGTGTGTGTGTGTGTGTGTGTTTGAGTGTATCAGACGGGGAGAGAATATGAGCTATTTAATGAATATTCCAATAAGTCCGTTAAATGAATATGCCTGCTTCTAATCTCTGCTTTAGTCCTTTTCTAAAGAATGTCTTATCTTTATTTTGAACAATCAAATGTACGCATATTACATTTGGGCATACTACATAGGTCAAATCTTTAATTGGACTAATAAGGTGCACATTCACTCTTTTAGCTCTTTTTTTGAGACGGAGTGCTCTGTCGCCTAGCGGAGTGCAGTGAGCCGAGATCGCGCCACTGACTCCGCTAGGCGAAACAGCGAGACTCCATCTCAAAAAAAAAAAAAAGAAAAAAGAAATGGCAATTTAACAACTGGTTATTATATATAATTTAACAAAGACTCATTTATTTATGCATAACTAGCCTACCTATCAGAAACCATCACAAGAAGAAAATTTATTCACAGTCTAAACAGTAACTGTTACCAGAAGTTTGCCTAATTGGATTTATTTTTAGGAGAGAATAGAGTTGGGCTTCAATATCCCAGTTACGATCCTTCTACTCAAGAAACACTGATTTTTAGTTAGTTATTTAAAGACTATTGTCCCACATTATTTAGATCTAATCACATTCTGAGTTGGTTCTACTCCTGGACTCTCCAAATTAATGTGTTTAAAAAATCAAAATAATTTTTTAAAATCAGGCTTACTTTTTAAATACCCTTCCATAACCTTTATAAAACTAAAAATTACTTCTGTGATCTCAGAAAACAATGAGGCTTTTAAAAAGCAGGCAGCAAAAGATGAAAAATCTTTCTCATATGAAAACAATAATGCTGTTCCCAAAGGTAGAACACACGTTTACAATTAGCATTCACAAATATTAAATAGGATTACCTCTAAAAAACTGTACTTAAGTAAGTAAAATTGAGCAATATACGTTCTCTTTACTAAACTAAAACTCCACCTCTGTTTCTGGCAGATCCTCTCTAGCTAGAAAAAAGAATTCAAAACATTATTTGCTTGATTAAAGCTGTAGTGGTCAGGCTGGGTGCGGTGGCTCCCATCTGTAATCCCAAGCACTATTGGAAGCTGAGGCAGGAGGATTCCTTGAGGCCAATAATTCAAGATCAGCCTGGGAAACACAGCAA
The DNA here is from genome assembly GCF_000001405.40 of Homo sapiens. Taxonomy (NCBI): domain Eukaryota; kingdom Metazoa; phylum Chordata; class Mammalia; order Primates; family Hominidae; genus Homo; species Homo sapiens. Next base: position 97,239,737 of record NC_000006.12, read on the forward strand.
GATCTGTCTATAAAATGAAGATATTAGCCAGACATGGTGGCATGCACCTGTCCTAATGACTCGGGAGAAGGAGGCAGAAGAAGTGCTTGAGCTCAGGAGTTCAAGGTTATAGTGAGCTATAACCACACCACTGTACTCCAATCCAGCCTGGGTGACAGTGAAAGACTCTGTCTCTTTAAACAAAAAATAAAAACAAAAAGTATAATGAAGTGTACACTAATTTTATTTGAAGGCTGCTGTATATTTGGAAGATTTTTATTTTGTTTAAATACAGCAAATGGACTCTTTCACCACTGTCACTGTTGGAGATCAAGTCAAAGTACATGACCATGGTCAGATTTCAATTTACCTCAATGGGAGGAAAATAGATATAATCAAACTGACAGTTCTATCCAAATATATTATTCTTTACAACTACCTACTACTGCTCCCACAAAATTGGTTTCCAGAAATCCAACACATAGTCCTATACTACTTATAGAATATAATTTGATACAATCAAGGAACACTAAAACTGAAGGAATAGCAGAGAACCACAGAACTACTTCTTCATAAATATTATAATCGCCTCTTTTCCCATAGGAAAGATATTTTGACTTTATGCTAGACCTAAATTCATAGAGCATGTTTCTTAGATTAGTCATATTATTCCTACTTCTAGGGTGACTAACTCATCCTGGTTTGCTCAGATGTTTCCTGGTTTCACACTGAAACTCTGGGCCATGCAAACCAGGATAGGATGGCTGGTCACCTGACCTACTTTTTTCCCCACAACCAATAGTCTTTGGGGAACAGGTGGTGTTTGGTTACATGAATAAGTTCTTTAGTGGTGATTTCTAAGGTTTCGGTGCACCCATCACCTGAGCAATATACACTGTACCCAAAGTATGGTCATTTTTTTTTTTTTGAGACAGAGTTTTGCTCTTGTCACCTAGGCTATAGTGCAATGGCGTGATCTTGGCTCACTGAAACCTCTGCCTCCCAGGTTCAAGTGATTCTCCTGCCACAGCCTCCTGAGAAGATGAGATTACAGGCACATGCCACCACACCCGGCTAACTTTTGTATTTTTAGTAGAGACAGAGTTTCACCATGTTGGCCAGGCTGGTCTTGAACTCCTGACCTCAGGTGATCCACCTGCCTTGGCCTCCCAAAGTGCTGGGATTACAGGCGTGAGCCACCACACCCGGCCTGTACCCTAAGTATAGTCTTTTATCCCTCACCCTACTCCCACCATTCCCCTCAGGCCCTCAAAGTCCATTATATCATGCTTACACCTTTGTGTCCTCATAGCTTACCTCCAAGTTAAAAACGAGAACATATGTTGGTTAGTTTTCCATTCCTGAGTGTTGTCACTAAGAATAATGGTCTCCACTCAATCCAGGTTCCTGCAAATACCATTATTTCATTCCTTTTTAAGGCTGAGTAGTATTCCATGTTCTATATATAAGAAGTTTTCTCTATTCACTCATTGATTGATGGGTATTGGGCTGGTTCCATATTTTTGCAATTGCAAATTGTGCTGCTATAAACATGCATGTGCAAGTGTTTCATAATGCTTCTTTTCATCTGGAGAGACACCTAGCCATGGCACTGATAGATCAAATGTTAGATCTTCTTTTAGTTCTCTAAGGAATATCCATAATGTTTTCCACAGTGTTTGTACTAGTTTACATTCCCACCAGCAACGTAAGTGTTTCCTTTTCACCAAATCCACACCAACATCTATTTTTTTTTTATTTTTAAATTATGGCCATTCTTGCAGGAGTAAGGTGGTGTTGCATTGTGGTTTTGATTTGCATTTCCCTGATCATTAGTGATGTTGAGCATTTTTTCATCTGTTTCTTGGCCATTTACATATCTTCTTTTGAGTACTGCCTATTCATGTCCTTAGCCCACTTATGGATGGGATTTGGGTTTGGTTTATTCTTGTTTCTCTAGTTCCTTGAAGTGTGACCTTAGATTGTCTATTTGTGCTCTTTCAGACTTTTTGATGTAGGCATTTAATGCTATGAACTTTCCTCTTAGCACTGCTTTTGCTGTACCTCAGAGGTTTTGATAGGTTGTGTCACTATTACTATTCAGTTCAAAGGATTTTTAAATTTCTATTTTGATTTCATTATTGACCTAAAGATCATTCAGAAGCAGATTATTTAATTTCCACGTATTTGTATAGTTTTCAAGGTTCATTTTGGAATTCATTTCCAATTTTATTCCACTGTGGTCTGGGAGAGTACTTGATATAATTTCAATTTTTTAAAAATTATTGAGACTTGTGGCCTATCATATGGTCTATCTTGGAGAATGTTCCATGTGCTGGTGAAGAGAATGTATATTCTGCAGTTTGAGTAGAATGTTCTGTAAATATCTGTTAAGTCCATTTGTTCTAGGGTATAGTTTAAATCCATTGTTTCTTTGTTGGCTTTCTGGCTTGATGACCTGACTAGTGTTGTCAGTAGAGTACTGAAGTCCCCCACTATTATTGTGTTGCCATCTATCTCATTTCTTAGGTCTAGTAATTATTTTATAAATTTGGGAGCTCCAGTGTTAGTTGTGTATGTTCCCTATTTAGGATTGTGATATTCTTCTGTTGGATACTTTTATCATTACATAATGTCCCTCTGTCTTTTCAAACTGTTGTTGTTTTAAAATCTGTTTTGTCTGATACAAGAATAGCTACTTCTGCTCACTTTTGGGGTCCATTTGAATGGACTATCTTTTTCCACCCCATTACCTTAAGTTATGAGTCCTTATGTGTTAAGTCTCTTGGAGACAGCAGATACTTGGTTGGTGAATTTTTATCCATTCTGCCCTTCTATATCTTTCAAGTGACACATTTAGGTCATTTACATACAACGTTAGTATTGAGATGTAAGGTACTATTCTATTCACTGTGGTAGTTGTTGCCTGAGTGCCTTTTTTCATTGTGTTATTGTTTGATAGGCCCTGTGAGATTTATGCTTTAAAGAGGTTTGTTTGGTATATTTTGAGGTTCAAGATTTAGGTCTCCTTTCAGCAGTTCTTATAGTGCTGGCTTGGTAGTGGCAAATTCTCTTAGCATTTGTTTGTCTGAAAAATACTTTATATCTTTCCTTCATTTATGAAGCTTAGTTTCACTGGACACAACATTCTTGGATGATAATTTTGTTTAAGGATGCCAAAGATAGGACCCAAATCCCTTCTAGCTTGTATTCTGCTAAAATAGCTGCTGTTAATTTGATAGGTTTTCCTTTGTAGGTTACCTGATGCTTTCTGCCTCACAGCTCTTAAGATTCTTTGCTTTGTCTTCACTTTAGGTAACCTGATGACTATGTGCCTAAGGTGATTATCTTTTTTGTGATGTTTCCCAGGTGTTCTTTGAGCTTCTTGTATTTGGATGTCTAGATCTCTAGCAATGCCAGTGCACTTTTCCTAGATGATTCCCTCACATAAGTTTTCCAAACTTTTAGATTTCTCTTCTTCTTCAGGAACACCAATTATTCTTAGGTTTGGTCACTTAACATAATCCCAATATTCTTGGAGGTTTTGTTCATTTTTTTAAAAAATTCTTTTTTCTTTGTCTTTATCGGATTGGATTAATTTGAAAACCTTGTCTTCAAGCTCTGATGCTCTTTCTTCTACTTGTTTGATTCTACTGTTGAAACTTCTCAGTGCATTTTGCATTTCTCTAAATGTGTCTTTCATTTCCAGAAGTTGTGATTGTTTTTTATTTATGATATATATTTCTCTGGAGATCTTTTCATGCATATCTGTTATTATTTTTTAAATTTCTTTAATCTGGTTTTCACATTTCTCTGTTGCCTCCTTAAGTAACGTTAAGAATCGACCTTTAGAACTCTTTTTCTAGTAATTCAGAGATTTCTTCTTGGTTTGGATTAATGGCTGGTGAGCTAGTGTGATCTTGTGGGGGTGATAAAGAACCTTGTTTTGTCCTATTACCAGAATTGTTTTTCTGGGTCCTTCTCATTTGGATAGACCATATCCAGAGGAAAGATCTGAGATCCAAGGACTAATGTTCTTTTGTACTGCAGGGTGATCCCTTGATGTGGTGTTCTCCCCCTTCCTGAGAGCCAGACTGCAGTGATTGTTATTGCTCTTCTGGGTCTAGTCACCCAGCAGAGCTACTGGGGTCTGGGCTGGTACTGGGGTGGGGGGTGTCTGCAAAGAGTCCTGTGATGTGATCTATCTTCAGGTCTCTCAGCCGTGGATACCACCACCTGCTCTGGTGGAGGTAGCAGGGGAGTGAAATGGACTCTGTGAGGATCCTTGGTTGCAGTTTTGTTTAGTACATTGGTTTTCTTGAATGCTGGTTATGCTAGCAGTGAAGTTGTCATGTGGACAGACTCAGGACCTCTGGTTAAACAGGATGTTACAGGTAATGAAATTAGATGTTGTTTTCTCCTTCCTTGGTGCAGGGTTGTTCTGTTATGAGTTGCCGTAATGGCTTGAGTTGGTTGGCCTCCAGCCAGGAGGTGGCACTTTCAAGAGGGCATCAGCTGTGGTACTACAGGGGGGACATAAACTTGCCCTGAAATCACCTGCATAAGTATTCAGGTTTCTCAGGTGATGGATGGGGCCATGGAGCTCCCATGAGTTTATGTTTTCTATCTTCGGCTACCAGGTGGGTAGAGAAAGACTGTTGATAGTTAATACTGAGTGTCAACTTGGTTGGATTGAAGAATGCAGTATTGATCCTGGGTGTGTCTGTGAGGGTGCTGCCAAAGCAGATTAACATTTGAGTCAGTGGGCTGGGAAAAGCAGACCCACCCTTAATCTAAGTGGGCACAATCTAATCAGCTGTCAGCTCAGCCAGAATAAAGAGCAGGCAGAAGAACATGAAAAGACTAGACTGGCTTAGTCTCACATCCTACATTTTTCTCCCGTGCTGGATGCTTCCTGCTCTCAAACATTGGACACCAAGTTCTTCAGCTTTGAGACCTGGACTGGATTCCTTGCTCCTCAGCTTGCAGGTGGCCAATTGTAGGACCTTGTGATCATGTGAGTTAATACTCCTTAATAAACTCCCATATATATTAGTTCTGTCCCTCTAGAGAACCCTAATACAAACCATAAGATGGGGGAATGGTTAGGCATGGCTGAGCTCAGACTCTCCTTGGGCAGGGCTTGATGCGACCACTGTGGAGTGGGTATGGGCGGGGGCAGTTCTCAGGGCTACGAAATTATGTTCGAAGGGGAATTATGGCTGCCTCTGCTGCTTCATAAAGGTCTCCAGAGAAGTGGGGGAAAGCTGGCAGTGGCAGGCCTCACCCAGCTCCCATGCAGCCAGCAAGGTCAGTCTCACTCCCGCTATGCTCCCTCAACAGCCAACAGAGCTGAATTTATATCCAGGCCTCTGGTGTGCAGGGCTGAGATCTATGTAAATATATATAATATATATATTTATCCATATAAACCTTTAAAGCTTCTTAAGAAATATTCTGTAACTTAAAACCAGCTGAGTGCAAAACCATAAATTCATACACTGTTAGAGCTGAAAGGGAGTTTAAAAATTATTAAATACAACAGAAACATGGGTCAATGAGAAAGCAATTTAAAGAACACAAGCAGTTACAACCTAACTGAAAATTAAACCCCTAGTTACTGACTCAGATTCAGTAACTCCCAATAGAATAATAATGTTATCCAGACTTTACTGAAATTCTCTGGATTTGGTTAAAGCATTAAGACTGAATTAGTAACTGATACAAATGACAATGGCCACTGTAATATGCATCTTATTTCACAACCACTTTTTAGTAATTCCCTTCATTCTGAAATAAAAAATATACATAAAAAACTTTTTAAGTTACTAAATCAATATGTTCTCAAAAAAAATGAGGACAACCAATGAACATGATATAGGACAAAATACAATAAACAAAACTTTTACAGGGATTATGGGAAAGATTATAAAAAGATAATAGATTTGTTTCTGATCCAATTTATGTATGCAGAATTCTTTGGCATTCTAAGCTAAAATTTTTAGTTCATAATTATGTGATTCATATTATAACTAAATGCCTTTATGTTTCCTAAAAAAGTAAGAGTTAATGCAGATAATGGGTAAAAGAAAATTTCAAGCAATTAAAATTTTTCCAAAGACATAGCTACTACAGACACACACACACACACACACACACACACACACACACACACATATAAAGCAATATTATACTACAATATTTTTTATTCCTCTTCAAGTTTTAAATAATCTTTATTTCTTAAAAGAAAAATATTTCCCAAATTCCAAAATATTATTTATTATAATTCTCCATAAACTCTTACAAAAATGATAACATATTACAAAACTTTACAGGGCTTCCATACAATATGTTTAAAAATGTGATGAACAGCATGTTTAAAACTATTTTAAAAGGAGGTCAAGTCTGACCTCTAGGCCATGAAGCACTACATTAACAGCTCTGCAGAAAGAAAAATGATAAGGTATGAAACGAATGGTCAGAAACTAGGACCTTATCAGTTAGAATATGATTCAAGCCTGTAAGACAAATTGCTCAGCAAGGCAAGTCACCTTCCTGCTGTGATGAGGATATAGCTGAATTTTCAATGCCAATGACTATCTCCCTCATTGTGTCACCTAGTTTGATATCATACAGTCAAGGAATGGCATACAGTTCTGAAGCATCTACCACTTATTTTGAATACATTTTGTCAAAGTCATCAACTAGGATATTATTGTCCTTTAACTGACAACTTAGTGTTAAAAATCTTTAAAGAATAATCACTAAAAGAAACTACTGTGAGTTAACCCTTCAAAGCATGAAAGTTATTTGTTTTCTGAATCATTTTAACAGCTTGCTTGGTTTTAAAAATAAAATTTGTAACATAAAAATTAAGCAAAATCCACAAACTGTCTTACTTTAATTGCATACCTGAACACTGATGGACTTTTTCAGCAGTTCTTCTACAAAGTTCCAATTTGATTCCACTTTTCTCTAGAAAGGGAGAAAATAGTGCATCAAAATTATTGCTCTTGATTATGCCTATATTTAAAATTAGGGTATAGCAAATTAAGTGTGCAGTACATTTTCCTCTATCATTCAGCATCAATGTGATTTCTTGAATTTCTAATATTCCTTTGGTAAAGAGTTAACAAACTTGGCAGAAAAAAATGTACAACTATTCCAATCCAATACAAACCATATCAGGAGTTGTAACAGTGGTGCTTCAGTAAGATTATAAATATTCTACCAAATATTTAATTTCTGCTTTCAGATACAAAATCCAACAGGAAAAAAAAAAAATTATATAGCCACATGTATTTTTGGTGTTTGTTTTTTTTTTTATGCTGAGTAATCATCCCTATTTTCCACTTTAATCACTAGAGCTTTTTCCTTCATTTTGTGAATAACAAACCTGAGACCATCTACTTTAGTAAACAAAGTAACTAAAAATTTTATACAGAAAATAAATTGACAACCTCGACTATCTAGAATGATTTCCATAAGGAAGAAAGCTAAAAAGGACTTTCACAAAGGCTAGGTAGGCACTTAAAACAATTCCACATTTCCAAAAGGAAAGCCTGGAAGACATTCTCACAGGATACTCAGTTCACTTAATATTCAGTTCTTAAAGTTCTGGATATGTGGATACTGGACAAAACCAAAAGCAAAGAAAGCATTTTAAAGAATAAGCAAGTAATAACCAGCTTCTAATGTGGAAGGGAAAAAAACGGTATAAAAAGTAATCATGGCCAGGAGCGATGGCTCACACCTATAATCCCAGCACTTTGGGAGGCCAAGGCAGGTGGATCACGAGTTGGAAACCAGCCTGGCTAACATGGTGAAACCCCGTCTCTACTAAAAATACAAAAATTAGCCGGGCATGGTGGCGGGTGCCTGTATCCCAGCTACCCGGGAGGCTGAGGCAGGAGAATGGTGTGAACCCAGGAGGTGTAGGTTGTAGTGAGCCAAGATCATGCCACTGCGCTCTAGCCTGGGTGACAGAACAAGACTTCGTCTCAGAAAAAAAAAAGAAAAGTAATCATAAGACCTCAAAAAGCAAAACCTGAGGCCTTAAAAAGTAAAAGAAAGACCTTCATCATACCCTTCTTATCCCTGTTATAAAGAATATGCTGTTCAGAGGCATGAACTCAAATGATCAATAAAGTGTTAAAGCATAATGAATTCTCATGATTTTAAATGGCTAGGCAATATTCATGTAAAATGCTAAATACAGTAAATCAGTAAATCAATATTTTCTTAATAAAGAGCACAGTGAGTATGGTAGTCAGCCTCTAAGATGTCCCCCAGTGACCTTTGTCTCCTGGAATTTATGCTTTCTACAATTCCCTCTCACACTGTACGAGGGTTGGTCACTAACAGACTACCAATACCAATATAAGTGATAGTATGTCACCTCCAAGAATAGGTTACAAGACACTGAAGCTTCCATCTTTATGACACTCTGATCTGTTAACTTGATCTGGAAACAGCTATATTGTGAACAGCACATATGATGAGAAACTGAAGCACTGTGCCAACTAAAGTAAAGCTGAAAGCAAATTCTGCAGTTCCAGTTAAATCTTCAGATACTGAAGCCCTGGCTGATAGCTTCACTGCAACCTCATGAGAGACCCTGAGCTAGAACCACCCAGCTAAGCTTCTCCTGAATGCCTGATTCTCAGAAATTGAGAGTGTGAGATAATAAATGTTTGTTTTAAGCTGATACTTTTGTGACACAGCAATAGATTACTAATACAATGATTTAGTTATTTTTAGCAAAATTGTTGACTTTTTGACATACACAAATAAAATGAATGCAAAAAAGCATTTATTGGGAGAAAATGTGGAGTAAAGAATTTGGCCTTGCCCAAAGAAAAGATCTGGCCTGCTGGGCTCACTCCTGTAATCCCAGCACTTTGGGAGGCCGAAGCAGGCAGATCACTTGAGGTCAGGAGTTCAAGACCAGCCTGGCCAACATGGTGAAACCCCGTCTCTACTAAAATACAAAAATTAGGAGGGTGTGGTGGTGCGTGCCTGTAATCTCAGCTACTAGGGAGGTTGAGGCAGGAGAATCGCTTGAACCCAGGAGGCAGAGGTTGCAGTGAGCAGAGATCGTGCCATTGCACTCCAGTCTGGGCAACAGAGGGAGACTTTGTCTCAAAAAAAAAAAAAAGATCTGACCTTTGCCCATAGCTTCCTGGAGGTCATCTCTGGGCCCTGGGAATGTTATGCCTGATAGTAGCATCTTTGACTAGGGTCCTATGGTCATACTGGATAATCTAACTATGTGATAGAGAGTGAAGGCTGGACACACCCACATAGTCTTAGCTTAGGGCCTGGTCACACCCAAAGAGCAACAATAGTCTCAGGCTGGGGGCTTTGAGTCAGTTGACTTGGAAACTGAAATCAGCCACGTGAGCAATTCAGTAGTCCACCCCTACATAATGGAACTCCCATAAAAATTATGAACATTGAGGCTTGAGTGGGCACCCGTTTTGCAACACTCCCTGCATACTGTCACACACTGATGCCAGGAGAAGAACGTGGCCTGACTCCATTAAGAGAAAACAATAGAAGTTCCACATTTGGTACTTCTGGACTCTGGCCTATGCCCTTCTTCCCTTGGCTGATGTTAATTTATATCCTTCCCCTTTAAGAAAACAAAATAATAGCTTTCAGTGAGTTCTGTGAGTCCTAACAAATTATCAAACCTAAGGTCGTTTTGGGAACCCTGAGCTTGCAACTGGTGTCAGAAGTAAAGACAGTTTTAGGGACTGTCCCCTGAAACTTGGTAGTTGGCCCTAAAAGTCTCTCAAAAAAAGCTCATTTTCTTCTATCAATACTGTATGTCTACTGTGTTACGTTCTTGACATAGTGCTTCCTCAAAAAAATTTCCCCATTTCACAGAAAACATAATTAAGTCTCAGAAAGGTCATGTATGTACAAATCAAAGAATGAATTCAAATCCAAGGTTATCTGGCACCAAAGCCTGTATTTCTTCTATTATAACACGTACCAATAACCAATTTTTTTTTTTTTTTTTTTTTACCTAACATGCCTTCCCTCAGATTTCAGCAATTCATTTTTGTATCATTCTTTATTAAGAAAATGTCACCTCCAGTGCCAAGTGAGAAGGGCCATGACAGGGTTGATATAATTTAAGTTTTAGCTTTATAACTGGATAGTGTTGAGTATATTTCAATCATTCTGTGTTATCAAAGCATTTGAATCACAAGAATTACAGAAAAACTGTAATTCTCACCCAAAGAATTTCAACTATATAAATCAGTTTTGTGGCTATAATCTAAAACAAAAATAAACTGTAATTCAAAGAAAAGAATGACAACTATGTCATACCCAAATCAAGGGTAAGAGAATATGTATCAAAGAGATATAGATTTTTCTTCCACAATAAAATTTCACTTTGGGCAGCTACAGCATTTTTTTTTCTACATACCAAGTTAAATCTGCTGATAGAAAGCAGGTAGGATGTCATCAATTTGAGGCTACATTTTATATTTCTTATTTCAGCATTAAAACTAAGATACCCATTTAAACGTTAGTATAGGTAGGATCTCTACCAGATATGTAGAACAGATTCTCCACCCTCCACTTCCAGCAGACTAGGTAGTCTGGTGCAACTCTCATTTTAAGGTTACATTTCACACTTTTATCTGGTTACTATTTCAGACGATTCAAAGACGAGCATCAGCTAGCCTGACTAATTGCATTATGTTCTGGGTACAGAAAACACTGTTAAAACTGACCCCTTGCAATGCCCAGAAGTAATTTTCCTCTTTAAACTGTATTTGGTTTTAAAATAGATGACTAGAATCGTGAGAGAGTAACCCACTCTCATCTTGTCTGAGAGAAAAGCATTAAACAGAAACGTAAGAAAATCTAATGACTCTAATATAAAAAGTGAGATACCAGATTTTTCTTACAGGCCTACACTAAGAAATTGGCTAGCTTTGTGAGTTAAATCCATTATAGCTTTGTGATTTAAATCCACTACAGGTTTACATTTTAAACCTATTTAAAATGTAAAGATTTCACATTAACCTTCAGGGCAAAGCAGTTCACGTTTAAAAACTGAAACATCGCCACACTGCCACAAGATTATAGATATTTCTCTGGTGAAGAACACATGACTAGCCATTATTACTTCATATCATCTCTCACTCCAGATTACTTGTTAGTAGAATAAAGCATGCTTACTGCACAACCATTTTCTCTATTGTAGTTGCTTATGTTAATATATCATAAGGAGAAAAAAAAATTTTCAAAATTCTAAACAGATTCCAGACCCAAACTAACATCTTATATAATCTCTCAGAAACAATACGTCAATATGCCTTTATGTTCATGGATTAGAATGACTATCTGATTTGTCAATTAAGCTGAAACACTTTGAGGATAAAAGCAAAAATTAACCAGTTAGGATGAATAGATAATAAGGTATAAAGTGGGACTGTCTGTACCTGGCAAAATGGAACACATGGTTACCCTACCAAAGACCTATTCGTAAGAGGCAATCCTTAGGAGAAATCTAATATCAAGTTTATCTAAGAGATAAAATAGGGTGATATTTAACCACTGTGTATCTCAATTTCTTTACCTGTAAAATGAATATATTACCCTCTCACCTACTTTAAAATATTTCACTGAGATAATACACAGTCACTGTGAAATACTAAATATGTTGCAAATGCAGCACATATTTTACCCCTAATGAAAACTATTATTAACTAGAGAGCTTTTCTTTAAAAACCTTTAGGAAATCCAGAAATAAACTCTTTGAGGACTCATATATAAAGGCAAAGTTTATTTTACATGTGCATATACACATATATATTACACATCCTCATCATTTTTATCATATCCTTTTTCTATTAATTATCACAGCCTTTTCTTTTAAAACCTTCTACATAAAATATGTGATTTTTTAAAATCGTGGCAAAAGAAAATCAGGAACTGCTGACAAATATTAAAAGACGCAAGTTAAGCTATTTTAAACACAGACAATTCATTTACTATCTTGATTCAGAGCTAATAAAAGCAATAATCTCCTCTGGAGTTCTCTGTATGAAATGGAAGGGTAGGGCTAGGTACGGTGGCTCACGCCTGTAATCCCAGCACTTTGAGAGGCCGAAGCGGGCGGATCACGAGGTCAGAAGATCAAGACTATCCTGTCTAACACAGTGAAACCCCGTTTCTACGAAAAATACAAAAAATTAGCCAGGCGTGGTGGCCGGCACCTGTAGTCCCAACTACTCAGGAGGCAGAGGCAGGAGAATGGCATGAACCCGGGAGGCGGAGCTTGCAGTAAGCCAAGACTGCGCCACTGCACTCCAGCCTGGGCGACAGAGCGAGACTCCATCTCAAAAAAAAAAAAAAAGAAATAGAAGAGTGACTTCAGCACTGCAACCATAGGTGGTTATATCACTGCAATTCCATATTACAATAGCAATGGCAACAATATATCCTAATGTGACTAGATTGCCTACCACACTGAGAATATCTGGCGGGGTCAATATCAACTAATATTAAAATATACTACGCACTCAAAAAAGTGTTAATACAGTTCCAACAAGTTTTTAATAACCTAAAAGCATGTTCCTTGAAGCAAGAAGTAGTACAATCTGGCAGGGTGCGGTGGCTCACACCTGTAATCCCAGCACTTTTGGGAGGCCGAGGCAGGCAGATTAACTGAGGTAGGCAGATTAACCGAGGTCAGGAGTTCGAAACCAGCCTGGCCAACATGGTGAAACCCCATCTCTACTAAAAATACAAAAATTAGCTGGGCGTGGTGGTGTGTACCTGTAATCCCAGCTACTCGGGAGGCTGAGGCAGGAGAATCACCTGAACCCGTGAGGCAGAGTTTGCAGTAAGCCGAGATCACGCCATTATACTCCAGCCTGGGTGACAGAGTGAGACTCCATCTCAAAAAAAAAAAAAAAAAGTAGTACAATCTATTTCATGTGTATTCTCTGATAGGCACCTAATATTATGCAAATACACAACAGAAACTCAGAAACACTTAACTAATTGCCATACTTACTTACATTGATTAAAATGAGAAATATATACTTGGAGGAACTAAAGTTGGAGAGGAAGAAAAATGCAAATGCTTATATTACGACCTTAGAATTACAGGTAAATTTTCTTAGTTCCTTTAATATAGTTCTAATATTCTAATAATTAAAAGATGTGAAATCACATTAACTCCACAAAAACACTTAATAAAAGCACTACTATAGTAATAATGGCAATTGCTAAAATTTATTATTTACTCTGTATTAGCATGGTAAATAATCATGGATACAAACAAAAAACATACAATTCTTTTCTGTGAGAAGTTCATTGACTTTTCTCAATAAATTGGTAGAATACTCAAATACACTGATACTGGGCCGTGTGTGAACTTCTCAGAGCAATTTCTGACTATTTCACTATATTCTGGGATCTCCTACAGGACCTTTTATTATTACGGGGATTATTTAGAGGACTTTTTGAGACCCTTTCCATTTCTATGATGCTATATTAATACTAACTAACCCTCAGATTCCATGGATGACTTCTCAAAGCTGGGTCTATCCAATATTCCAAAGAGGAAAATCTATCAAGCCTATTAAAGAATATGTTTCATAAAGCAATGGCTCCCATACCTCGTAGAGGATGAGAACCAAGGAACTTTTTAAAAATCAGGATTTCCAAACTCCAAATCAGGACCTCCAGAGTTAAGATCTAGGTATCTGGATTTTTTTTTTTTTTTTTTTTGGATGGTGTCTCACTCTGTTGCCCAGTCTGGAGTGCAGTGGTGTGATCTCGGCTCACCGCAAACTCCGTCTCCGGGTTCAAGCAATTCTCCTGTCTCCGTCTCCCAAGTACCTGGGACTACAGGTGTGCGTCACCATGCCCTGCTAATTTCTGTATTTTTAGTAAAGACAGGGTTTCACCACATTGGCCAGGCTGATGTCAAACTCCTGATCTCAAGTGATCCACCCGCCTTGGCCTTCCAAAGTGCTGGGATTATAGGCATGAGCCACTGCAGCTGGACTAGATACCTGGATTTTTTAAAACTCACAAGTCTAATGATCAGCCAGGTTTGGTAACCACTGCCATAAAAAATGGCAATTTTGAAAATATAGACAAGTTGGCTTCATGATTCTAGATGCTTATTTTATGGAGCTGATAGGCTGATACAATAATACAATACTATTAATTTCTGAATATGGTAGAAATTGTATAAAAATAGGGCTTCAAAGTAAACATCTGTTAGCTGATTTTATTCATAGGGTTTTTAAGTAACACTGTAAAAAATGTTTCTAATGAGAAATTAATATACTAGTTAAAATCTCTTTGTATTTGAAGCAAACTTCATGGTTGTTTAATAAGTTATCTTAGCAAAAAGCTTCACTAAAGAAGTGCTATTCTGAAGTACTTTTATTAAATTATTCACAAAAATAAGTAATTCATTCCTCGAGAAATTTCTTTGCCAATCATAATAGATTTTAAAACTAGAAGGAATCTTTGTGACAATCCAATCCCATGATTTTTTGTTAACGGAAGACAAAGCTAGAAAGGTTTAAGTAATTTGCTCAGGGTCACACAATTGTTCAGTAGCAGGGCCAGGACTACATACCAAATCTTCTACAAGTAATTTTTTTTAATTAAACAATTAAAACATAAACTTTATAATTTTTCAAGATGTTTACAGAAACATTATACATAAATAATTTATCTCTGTGATTGTAGTCTGACTTTTCTTGTTTCTGCTCACTTATTTTCTAATTTGTCCAAATAATTACATATTAATTGACAATATAAGAAAGTTTTTAAAAAATGAAGTCTTACCATTTCATCTGGTACTCCATGGCGATCAAACTTGTAAAATGATGCTACATGAGTAATAATCCACCAACTAAAACCTAATGGATCCCTGGACTGGATTACAGGCATAGAGGATCTTCTTCGGTCACTTGATTTTTCAAGCAGTGTTTTAAGTAGTTTATTCAACCAGTTCCAAAATGACTATAGAAACAGAAGTAATTTGATTCCATTAAGACAGTTTCAATAACCTTTGATTTCGTGGTTTTTCTCTATTTTTATAATGAAGCATATATACAAAAGACAAAACACATATATAAAACTGAAATAATAAAAATGCCCAGGTTAAGAATCAGAACATAAATAGTACTTTAGAAGTACCTTACAGGTCACCACATCTTCCTCCTCCATCCAGTAGTTAACAATTTTGCTGACTTTCATGATAAATCATTTCCTTGCTTTTTTGTTTCGCCACACAGGTATACCAGCCTATATTATATATTGTGTGGCTTCATCTGTATTTTGTTTTTTTTAAATGCATGTCTGTATTCTCAAGCGGCTTGTTTCTAATTCTTTTGTAACTTGCTTCTTTGGTCAATGCTGCGTTTCTGATGAACTCATCTATATTAATGAAAACTGCCATAGCTTATTGCAATATTCCAGTATATGACTATATGATAAAACATTTATTCAATCTACTATTGCAGAACATTTAGTGAGTTTTAGGTTTTTCTAGGTATTTCATGTAAATGTTCAAGTTATTAGACATAAAGTTGTCGACAGTATCTCTTACCTTTCTAATGTATACAGAAACTGAAGTCATGTTCCTTTTTATATTTCTAGTATTGAGTATTTTTGTAACCATCTTAAGTAACATTGGCCAATTTTAGGTATCAATTTGAGGAACCAACTTTTGCTCATTTTATCCTTTTCATTGTTTTAAATTCATAATTTTTTGTTATTTTTATAATTTCATTCCTTTTACCTTCTTTGGATTTACTATGAAGGGCTTATTGCTAACATCTTGAGATAAATTATTAGTTCATTTGCAATCTTTCTTTTTTCCTGTATTTGCATATACAGTTACAAATTTCCCTCTAATTATAACTTTTAGCTGTAGTCCCAAAACTTTAGTTTACAGAATGTTATTTACTTTGGAATATTTTCTAATTTCCATCATCTCTTCTTTAACTTATGAGTTATTTAGAAATATATTTCATTATTTCTATGCATGTGTATTTCTCCTTGAAAATCTGTCCATTTTAAATTGCTACGGTTAACACCATGTTATTAGCCACATGCAAATTTAAATTTATCCCTGATAAAGTAAACCTTTCATCACTATAAAACAACTTAATGCTTTTTTGTTTTAAAGTCAAAATTTTTCCAATATTTGTTTAATACGTCACTTTCTTGTATCTTTTCTATCAATTTTGAACCTTGATATATTCTGTTTTAGAATATATCCTGACAATATGTCTTTTAAATGGAGCTTTTAGTAGTACCATTGCAGGTAATATAATGACTAATATATTTAGTTTTAAATCTACAATCTTATTCCATATTTCTATTTGTATACCTACTGTATCCATCAACACCTCCTTCTCTGGGGTTGAATATTAATTTTTTCCCCCTCTACCTGCTTGGAAGTTAAAAAGTCTACTTTTCTTCTTTCAGTGATGATCTTAGAAATAAACATTACACATCCAAATGTCTTGGTAAATTAACATAGACCTTTCTCTTAGAGCAAACAAGAACCTTAAAAGAGTAGCTCATTTATGTCCTACTCACTTTAGATGGTACTATTACTATGTGCTTTAGCCGTTTTTTAATTCCAATAAATTATATTACTGATTTATACAAAACATGTACCACTTTCTTTGCTCTTTATTCCTTCTACATGTCAGAATTCCCATTTTGGCATCACCATTCTTCTGCCTAAATATCCTTCAGGATTCTCTTCAATTTTGCTTCAATGAAAATAGCTTTATTTTACCTCACTTTTTAAAGATATTAATAGGTAAAGAATTTTAGGTTGACAAATATTGTTTTGATACAATAAGGATATCATTCCCACTGGCCTCCATTGTTGTTGAAAAGTCAGCTGCCCAATTGTCACTCTTTTAGTGGTACTATATTGGCCAGCTGTGGCAGCTCACACCTGTAATCATAACACTTTGGGAGGGCAAGGCAGAAGGACTGCTTGAGGTCAGGTGTTCGAGACCAACCTGGGCAGACCAGTGAGACCCTGTCTCTACAAAAAATAAATTAGCCAGGTGTGGTGGCATGTGCTTGTACTCCCAGCTACTAAGGAGTCTGAGACAGGAGGATCACTTGAGTTCAACAGGTTGAGGCTGCAGTGAGCTGTGACCACACTACTGCACTCCAGACTGGGTGACACAGTGAGACCTTCTCTCTTAAAAAAATAAATAAAATAAAGTAACACATTTTTCTGTAAGATGCTTTAAATTTCTTCTCTTTGTCTTTGGTCTTCTGTGATTCCACTGTGATGTTATCTGGGTGTGTTTTTTCTTTTTATTTACCCTATGTGGGTGCACTGAATTTATCTGATTAGCTTTCACTAACATTTGAAAATTTTCAAGTCATTTTTTCTTCAAATATTTTTGTTGTTCCACTTCCTTTTTAACTATAGTTAGAAGTATATCAGACATCCTCTCTATTCTTAATGTCTCTTAACCACTCTTTCATGTTTTCCATCTTTTGTTATATTATGCATAACAGATCTTATTCAAAATTAGCCTACTATACCATTATGCAGCAATCATAAGGTGCATTTAGCTATCCCATCATTTAATGTTTCTTCAGCTTACTTTAATCTGTAAGCGTTCCTCAGACTATACCACTCATAACCTTGATATTTTTAGAGTATACCAGTTTTTCAGGTTTGTCTGACATTACACATTTTATTCTTTTTTTGTGGGGGGAGAGGGTCTCACTCTGTTGCCCAGGCTACAGGGCACTGGTGCAAAATTCTGGGCTCAAGTGATCATCCCACCTCAGCCTCCCAAGTAGCTGGGACCACAGGCATGCCACCACCACACATAGGTAATCTTGTTTATTTTTTGTAAAGATTACGTCTCTATGTTGCCCAGTCTTGAACTCCTGGGCTCAAGCAATCCTCTCACCTAGGACTCCCAAAGTGCTGGGGTTACAGGCATGAGCCACCACACCTGGTCTATTTTTGTTCTTTCAAGGCATCATATTGATGGTACATGATATCAATCTGTCCTATTACTAGTTAACTTTGATTGCTTGGTTAAGGTAGTACCTGCCACATTTTCTGTACTATAAAGTTATTATTTTCCCTTTTATAATTGATAAATATTATGTAAAGATCTTAACAAACTATGTAAATGTGCTGTTTTTCATCAGTTTTGTCCACTACTTTAAGCATCCATTGAGGATTCTTGCCTGAAACAATTACCATGGAGGTTGTCAAATGGTGATTTTCTAATTCCATCATGACTCTACATCTATTAGGAAGAGCTTCCCTTTTCCCAATTTGTTTATATCAGTAGGGACTCACAGATTCCTAGTGAACAGATTACAATCCCTTACTATTTTGTAGCTCAACAGCAATGGAGGCCAGTGGGATGATATCCTTATTGTATCAAAACAGTATTTGTCAACCTAAAATTCTTTACCTATTAATATCTTTAAAAAGTGAGGTAAAATAAAGCTATTTTAGCCTATAGACCTTAAGGCTGACTCTCATGTCCTTCTGACATGTACTCATCATTTTTTGAGCACTTCCTTAGTTTCTGGTACAAGATGTTTCAGGCTCATGTTTACTTTCCATGCTTCATCCTGTAATCAGCCATTTGTTCAAAGACTCGTTTCCTTTCACTACAGAATGGTTATTTTGAAACTAAGATATAGCTGCAATGTGTATATTGTTACTCAGTATCATTGCTTGTAAGCCCACCCAGTGAAAAAGGTAGGAAATGGAGGTATGCACACACACACATATACATTTATATATAGTCCTATATATTAAAAAGAAGTATTGCATACTATAACAAATTCTAATCCAACATAATGTGCTTCATGCTGGCTTTCCTTCTTTCCATATGTGTAACTCAATTCCCCAACACAGACAAACCTGACTCCAATTACCCACAATGTATTTATTAATTTGTCCAGTCCAAGAATACAAATATAATAGATTTAAAATTGCTAATCCTCACATAACAATGTAAAAAACAAATCTCCTAAGTATTTACAATTCTTTATGATTGTCTTTAGCCTTATAGTATAGTGTCAAAATAGTACATTCTTAAGTTACCTGGGTTAACATTGCCAATCCCCTCAAAGAGTGTTATTCATTTAAAATACATTTAAGTTCAGTTGTTTCTGTTATATTCCATTGAGTGCACCTTTCATACAGATTGATTTAATTTTAGGGCATGTGGAACATTAACACGATTCTAAAGTCAGAACTACCCAAATAATTACATCAAACCCTTCCACTCCATTTTCACCCACCCATCTTTATTTTTACCCACCAATCTCAATAGTTTGTCTTTCCAGTATTTATTTGTGCACAATTGAACACATATATATACACACACACACATTGCCTTTTTCCTAATTTCTTATACAAAAGGTAACATCATCCTATAGTTTTGAACTTTATTTCTATCATTTAACAATACATTCTGCAACTCACTCCGTATCAGTTCAGATATCTTCCTCATTCTATTGTACAACTACAAATAGAATGGTTAATTTTATGTGTCAACTTGAACAGGCCACAGGATGCCAAGATATTTGGTTAAATATTATTCTGAGTGTGTCTATAAAGGTTTTCTCGTTGAGAGTTACATTTTAATTGGTAGGCTGAGTAAAGAGATGGCCCTCTCTAATATGGGTGGGTGCCATCCAATCAATTAGTGGCCTGAATACAACAAAAAGTCCTCCGAGGGTAGAGAAGACTCCCTGTGCTTCATACTGAAACACTGTTCTTTTCCTGCCTTCAGACTTGGACTCAGACTGGAAATTACACCATTGGCTTTCCTGGTTTGCAGACCTTTGGACTGAGACTGGAAACTATACCATCAGCTCCTCTGGGTCTTCAGCTTGCCAACCTCAGATTCGGGACTTCTTGGCCTCCATAACTCTGCGAGCCAATTCATTATAATAAATCTTATATATATATATATATCTATATATCCTATTGGCTGTTTCTCTGGAGAACACACACTAATACAGAATAATACTTCAGAGTACAGATATACCATGGTTTGTTCAACTACTCTTTTATATATAAGAATTTAGTTTCTACTATACTATTATAAAAACAATACTGCAATAAATAAACGTATGCATATGCATTTTAATTTTGGAGGGTACACATTTAGAGTAAATTCCTGGAAGTGGGATTGCTAGGGTCAAAGTTACAAAATCCTTGGCTCACACTTTTTCATTGAGTCATTTTAAATGCTGCATTGAGGCCTTGTTTTAAGTTGACTTTGCAAGTCTAGTGCCAATAAAATTATTTTGCTCTTATAAGTTGTTTGGTCTTTGTGCCTAGAGGACTTGGAGATTTTTTCCTTTATGTTTAAAGTGAAACAGTTTTAGTAAGACTTGTCTTCGGGTGGATTGCTTGGGGTTAATCTTTCAAATTATCCAGCAGACCCTTTCAATACGTAGATTTAGATCTTTTATTTCTGGGAAGTTTCCTTTGATTATAGTTTTTAATATTAGCTATATCACACTGTTTTCTTCTCTAGGGATTGCATTTATATGTACAGTTATTTCCTCCTTGCCTACCTTCCATCTCAACCATTTTCTCACTCTCTTCATATTTATCTCATTTTTATTCCCTTAGTTGTTTTCAACCTTTCTTCTATGCCCCTTATTAAATTTTCATTTAAGTCTATTCTCCCTCAGTCATGTTGTAATTTAGTCAATACGGATATAATTTTCCTCTTCCTATTTCTTTCCTGCATTGAATGTATTCTTTCCATCCATCCCCGGTTTTCTGTCCATTTGTTTTTAACATTTGAGTATCTTATTCAAGGTGTTTTTCTATACTCCCAGATGTAGTCTGAACAGACAAACTAATTCAATCTACAGTGTTGTCAGTTTCTTCTGTTTTATGGTTGTTTCTGGGGGAGAGGGTACCATCAACTAAAGTGTTATCAAATCTGTTTTCTTCTAGTAAGTTTATAATGGTCTAGTTTCATTCCATTCATTTTGTAGATTAGGATTAGCTTAAAAGATTCTTAATTCAGGGTTACCTTCTTTTGACAATGCACCAAAGTCCCATTTCTTTACTGAATTTCCTTTCCTTTTCTTTCTTCTTTTTTTTTGGTGGTGGGAGAGGGTATGAGTCCTTTGATTTATTCTTTTTTTGGTGGTGGTGTTTTAAGACCCTAAATTTTCTGCTTTCTCTTCTGGTGCCCTTCACCACCCAATCACCAATGGGTACCATGATTCATTTTTGCCTTCTACAGAAACTCCATGTCATGTGGACACTTTTATGTTTCTTTCTTATCAGTTCTCCGATCTACAAGAAAACTTTTTCAGTATCTTCACATTCTGGCAATGATTTTAAAGCAGTTTTATAACCACTGTTAGTTCTCTTCTCAGAGTAGTTTTTCTCAGACTGCCCTGCCTTGCTAGAAAGGCTCGTGGTAAGAGCTTTAGAGGTTTTCTGTTTTTAAAACTGACAGTACTAAGCACTCCCATTTGCAGTTATATAATACGTATGTTTTTGTATACAGCTGACGTTTGAACAACACGGGTTTGAAATGCATGGGTGCGCTTATACATGGATTTTCTTCCATCTCTACCACCCCGAAGACAGCAAGACCAACCCCTCCTCTTCTTCCTCCTCCTCCTTAGCCTACTCAACATGAAGATGAGGATGAAGACCTTCATGGTGACCTACTTCCACTTAATGAGAAGTAAATATATATTCTCTTATGGTTTTCTTAACATTTATTTTCTCTAGTTTATCATGTATATAATACATACAACATACAAAATACATGTTAATTGTTTCTTTATGTTATGGGTAAGGATTGCAGTCAATAGTAGGCCACCAATGGTTTTTTGGGGAAGTCAAAAGTTACATGCAGTTTTCTGACTGCATGTTGGGGGGACGGTCAGCATCCCTAACTCCCACATTGTTCAAGAGTCAACAGTAGATATATTTGATTTTGCTGTTCTATATTTTGTTGGAAGGTTATGTAGGGAGATGTGGGTTTAGGCATCCATCCATTTTTCTTGGCTACCCAGAATTCAATGCCTTGAAATTTTTTTTTCTTTTTTCAAGAGAGGGTCTTGCTTTGTCATCCAGGCTGGAGTGCAGTGGCACAATCTTGGCTCACTGTATCCTCGATATCCTGGGCTCAATGGTTTGAAATTTTTAATAAAATCTAGGTAACATGAACTCAGTCTGTAAACCCACATAAGGGCTAGAATACAACAAAAAACACACAGACGCAATTTTAAACTTCTGAAAAGCACCACAGTTAAAGACAGTCAGTTTTCCTTACAAATCTAGTTGAGTTTCTACTTCATCTTTCTGAGTGCCCAGTTTTATGGATAACTGGTGTAGTTGTAGGCTACCAACTTGATAAACTCTGAACTTTATCTTCTATTCTTGTACCCCTTAATGCCTGAAAGCCAAAGTTCAAATTTACACAATTCAGCAACTGCCTCTAGGTTATGAAAATAAATTTTTTTACTCAATAAACAAAAATATATTAAGTTTACATTTATTTGATGCTAAAATAATAATTCAAAATAAATACAGTACTTGCAAACCTACAAAAATAGAGTTGTTATTAAAAAAAGATAGCAGGCCAGGCATGGTGGCTCATGCCTGTAATCCTAGCACTTTGGGAGGCCAAGGCAGGCAGATCACTTGAGGTCAGGAGTTCAAGACCAGCCTGGGCAACATGGTAAAACCCCATCTCTACCAAAAATACAAAAATTAGCTGGCCACGGTGGTGCATGCCTGTAACCCTAGCTACTCAGGATGCTAAGGCACGAGAATTGCTTGAACTGGGAGGCGGAGATTGCAGTGAGCCGAGATCATGCCAAGGTGGAGGCTGCAGTGAGCACTCTAGCCTGAGCAACAGAGCAAGACTGCCTCAAAAAAAAAAAAAAAAAAAGATAGCAGCACCCAAACCCCAAATTACAGAAAACTGGAAAATTTTAAAATCCATGAAAAATCAAAAGTACCCTTTCATATAACATAAACCATTTTTAATACCGTTTTACAACAGACTGTTTTACTTACTTCTGCCTAGGATACTTCTCTTTTTCAATAACCTACAGCACTTGAAATAAAATAAAGCCCTGTTCTGAAGACATGACTGAAAATGAAGTGAAAGTTTCTCATCTTCCCTTTTCTGCTTCTCTTCCTCCCTCCTTGAAATTGCTATAAAATTGAGTAATAGAAACCTGTTTTATTTCTCCACAAATCTTCTAAATCTGCCGTATTTCCTGACTAAAATGTTTTCTAGGTTACTAATGGGTAGTAAATACCTTAGTCTGAAAGATTTCTGATAGAACAACAACAACAAAACTTGAAAAAAAGTAAGGGTTGAACCTTGTACTGCTCTTAGATTTTTCATATTACTAACTTGGGGCTAAAAATAATTAGGGTTAAAAATAAAGTAGATATTCAGTACTCAGTTATTGCTCTATTGGTGGTTATTATTGCCTTATTATAAAAAAGGAAGTTAAGATTTTTCTCAGTTAAAACCATTGGATTAAATCAATATAAAGGTTAGTAACAATAACCAACACATCAATTTTCCAACTTACTTCCGAGACAAACCATTTACTTCTGTGGTCTAGAAGATGAATAAGTAGAACCCATAATTCTTTAATGCATAAACATGGACACTGGTCACTCATTAATGATTCAGAAGACCTAACCTATAGAAAATAACCAAAATGTGTTATTTATAAGACAGCAGCAGAATTTTAAATGCCATATATCTTTCAAATACTTTTAAAAGAATGATTTAGATGACTAAGAATTTATTCTCAATTAGACAAAATTATTTATTGAAAATGTGCAATTTCATTTAACTTTTAAGACAAATTTCCATTTTAAAACAAAAAGCACAGATTAATTTGATTTCAACTTAAAAAAAAATTTTAATCATCTAGTGCCGTGGTCAGCAAACTTTCTCTTTTTTTTTTCTTTTTGTGAGATGGAGTCTCGCTCTGTCACCCAGGCTGGAGTGCAGTGGAGCGATCTTGGCTCACTGCAAGCTCCGCCTCCCAGGTTCACGCCATTCTCCCGCCTCAGCCTCCCAAGTAGCTGGGACTACAGGCGCCCACCACCACGCCCGGCTAATTTTTTGTACTTTTAGTAGAGACGGGGTTTCACCGTGTTAGCCAGGATGGTCTCGATCTCCTGACCTCGTGATACACCCGCCTCGGCCTCCCAAAGTGCTAGGATTACAGGCATGAGCCACCTCGCCCAGCCAGCAAACTTTTTCTATAAAGGGCCAGATAGGACATATTTAAGAGTCTGTTGTCAATACAGTCTCTGTCACAACTACTGAACTCTGCCATTTCAGTACAACAGCCGCAGATACCTGGTAAGAGAAATGGACCTGGTTATATCCCAGTAAAACTATATTTACAAAAATAGGTAATGGGCTAGATTACACCTCAGGGCTAGTTTGCTTATTTTGCCCTGAGTCATCTACAACAAAAGACTTCTAATGAAAAGATTAGAAAATAAATTTTGATTCACTGTAAACAGAGTAAAAATTTTGCAAGACAGAATGAATACAGTTATTAGGGATTTATAAAGATTCAGTAATTTCTAAATTATCTACCTTTTTTTAATAAAAAAATCCTCAGCAGCCCTAGATAATGCACAGAATGTACACTATATTTGCAAATATAGCTAGGCTTCTTAAATTAATAATGTATGCAATATTTTACGTAAGTTATGTACACTTTTCTAACCTAATACAAAGTTAAAAAAAAAGTATTAGGATGTTACTAGAAATCCTAGCCACAGCAATTATGCAAAAGAAAGAAAAGGCATCTAAACAGAAAGAAATGTTAAAATTGTTGCTGTTTGTAGATAACATGATCTTTTATATATAGAAACCTCTAAAGACATCACCAAAAATTATTTGAATAAATAAATGCAGTAAAGTTGCAGGATACAAAAATCAACATACAAAATACCATAGCATTTCTATACAATAACAACAAACTATCCAAAAAAGAAATCAATAAAACAATCCCATATATAGTATATACCTACAAAAATAAAAATACTTAGGGATAAATTTAACCAAAGAGTAAAAGGCCTATACACTGAAAAATAAAAAACACTGATGAAAGAAACTGAATACAACACAAGTAAGT
Source organism: Homo sapiens (assembly GCF_000001405.40). Lineage (NCBI taxonomy): Eukaryota > Metazoa > Chordata > Mammalia > Primates > Hominidae > Homo > Homo sapiens. The sequence goes on from NC_000006.12 coordinate 97,264,910, forward strand.
AGAAAAAATATCTTGTGGTCATGGATTGGAAGAAATATTGTTAAAATGTCCATACTACCCAAAGTGACCTACAGATTCAATGAAATCCCTACCAAAATATTTAATGACACTTTTTTACAGAAATAGAAAAAACAATCCTAAAATTGGTAGGAAATCACAAAAGGTCCTGAATAGACCCAGCAATCTTTAGCAAAAAAGAACAAAGCTCGAGGCATGACACTACCTGACTTCAAAATATACTACAAAGCTACAGTAATCAAAACAGTGTGCTGCTAGCACACAAACAGACACAGAACAAAACAGAACAATTGATTTTTGACAATGATGAAAAGAGCATGACACGGGGAAAGGACAGCTTCTTCAATAAACAGGTTGGGACAACTGGATATCCACATACAGAATGAATTTAGGCCCTTGTTTCACACCATACAGAAAAATCAACTCAAAATAAATTAAAGACTTAAATGTAAGACCTGAAACTATAAAACTAGAAGAAAACATAGGGGAAAAGCTATATGACAATGGTCTGGTAAATGATTTCTTGGATATGACCCCAAAAAGCACAAGCCATGAAAATGAAAACTGACAAATGGGATTATATCAAAATAAAAAGGAAATATCTGCAAAGCAAAGGAAAAAAAATCAACGGAATGAAGGGAAAATCTCGAGAATGGAAGAAAATATTTGCAAACCATACATCTGATAAGGGGTTAGTATTTTAAATATATAAGGAACGCAAACAACTCAATAGCAAGAAAACAACCCAATTACAAAATTGGCAAAAAATATAAACAGACGTTTTCTTTTTTCTTTTTTTTTTTTTGAGGCAGAGTCTCTCTCTGTTGCCAGGCTGGAGTGCAGTGGCACAATATCGCAATATTGGCACACTGCAACCTGCGCCTCCCAGGTTCAAGCAATTCTCCCGCCTCAGCCTCCCAAGTAGCTGGGACTACAGGCACGCACCACCATGCCCGGCTAATTTTTTGTATTTTTAGTAGAGACGGGTTTCACCATGTTAACCAGGATGGTCTCGATCTCCTGACCTTGTGATCTGCCTGCCTCGGCCTCCCAAAGTGCTGGGATTACAGGCGTGAGCCACCGCGCCTAGCTGACATTTCTTAAAAGAAGACATACAAATGGGCAAGCAGTACATGAAAAATGCTCAACGTCACTACTCATTATGGAAATGCAAATTAAAACTTGATAAGATATCACCTCAAACCTGTTATAATGGCTATTACCAAAAAGACAAAAGATAATAAGCGCCAGAGAGGAAGTGGTGACAAGAAAACCCTTGCACAGTTTGGTGAGAATGTAAATTGGTACAGCCATCATGTAATACAGTATGCAAATTCCTCACAAAATTAAATATAGAACTACCACATGATCCAGCAATCCTACTAGGTATATTTGCAAAGAAAATGAAATTAGTATGTTTAAGAGATATCTGCATTCCCATGTTCACTGCAGCATTATTTATAAGAGCCAAGACATGGAATCAACCAAATTGTCCATCAACAGATGAATGCATAAAGAAAATGTGGTTTATATACACAATGGAATACAGTCATGTGTCACTTAACAGCAGGACATGTTCTGAGAAGCACGTCTTTAGGCTAACATGATTTATTGTACTTAAACTTTTTCAGCCTACTACTGCACACCTAGGCTATGTGGTATAGCTACCTTGTATATGTGGTCTGTCACTGACTAAAACTTTGTTACACAGTGTATGACCCTACTATTCAGCCTTGAGAAGATGGAAATGCTGTCATTTGCAACAATATGGATGAACCTGGAGGACATTAAATTAAGTGAAATAAGCCAGGCACAGAAAGACAAGTAACACATAATCTCACTTATATGTAGAATCTAAAAAAGCTGAACTCATAGAAGCAGAGTAAGATGATCCTTACCAAGGGCTGTGAGGAGGATTAGGAGGGAGGCGGGGTAGATGTTGATCAAAGCATATAAAATTTCAGTTAGATAAGGGAATAAGCTCAACATGATGACTACAGTTAAAAACAATGTACTATATTGTATTCTTGAAAATCACTAGAAGCATAGATTTTAAGTGTTCTCACACAAAAAATAAGAATGTGAGATAATACATATGCTAATTAGCTATATTTAGCCATTCTACACTGTATACACATATCAAAACATGATGTATATGATAAATATGTATAATTTTGTCAATTAACAAAAATAAATAAATATTTAAAAGTTATTCTATCATATCTGGTTAATCCACTAATACACATACACACTAAATTGTAAAAATATTGATAATGCATAAAAAAATCTAAATTTTGAAAAATTATAAAACTCCTTTTCCCTCAATCTTGATTTCCCAAAAACAGTCTTTACGCTTGTAATCTAAAATAACAGATAATACTCTACAAACATTTATACTACTTAAAAATAAACATGTTCTGTAGCACCTTTAAATCACTGTCTCCATTAAACACTCTATGATAAACATAATTTAATAAAAACACATAATTTTACCCAGATTCGAGACCTTTTATGAAAACAAGCAAGAAAATCCTCTCTTAAAATGTGTAAAGTAACTTTAAGTAAGCATTTATTTTATTATTACACAACAGTAATACAATACATTATTAAAGAGCTGGCCTCTACTATTTGGATAGAAATTAGGCTTCCAGTGATTTCGGTAAACATCATTTTTATTTATTTATTTTTGTCAAAATAGAAAAGGCTATTTTTCTTAAAAAAAAAAAAAAAAAGAAAAAAAGAAAAGCTCTAAAATACCAATTCCAGCCTCTTTTAGATGTTTAAATAAAAATTGTTTTCCCTTTCAGCTCCCAGATAATAGCAACTAAATATAAAATTAGAACATATAAAGCATTTTAGTTTAAATTCTTACAGATTAAACGACATGCATTAAGGACTGAATACTGTCTTTAAGTCTCAAAAATACAAACTCTTAAAGCATTACCTTGTCGTACCTGTTGAGTGACAGGCTTATTAAATCACAAAGGAGAGTTTCACAATGTTCTTCAAATAGGCTGATGTTGGTTAAATTGTCACTTGCCAGATTCATAAACTGATGACCATATACAACTTGTTCTGAAAATGTAATAAAAATAGTTTTAAAATACAGATTTTACTAAGTCAGAAAGGAAAAAGTGACTGTACATCTTTAAATTATAACAAAACTAAAACATACAGTTTTTAATTTTTTTTTGCAAATAAAATATGAATTTGAGGACAACCTTCTCATATGAGCACTGATAAACATTATCTTCAAAAGTTTCTTTTTTTTTTTTTTTTGAGGCGAGGTCTCTGTCACCCAGGCTGGAGTGCAGTGACGCGATCTCAGATAACTGCAAGCTCCACCTCCCAGGTTCAGGCCATCCTCCCACCTCAGCCTCCCAAGTAGCTGGGACTATAGGCACCCGCCACCTCACCTGGCTAATTCTGTTTTTGTATTTTTAGTAGAGACGGGGTTTCACCGTGTTAGCCAGGATGGTCTCAATCTCCTGACCTTGTGATCTGCCCACCTTGGCCTCCCAAAGTGCTGGGATTACAGGCGTGAGCCACCACGTCCAGCCCAAAAGTTTCTAATTCTTCCAAGTAACATCTAATAAACTTCTCTTTTCCTAATAAGTCTATCTTTAAGAAGCATTAATGCAACACAACTTAAAAAAAAAAGAGAGAGAACAACATAAAATCTTCATCCACATTTCTAACCAACAAAGCCTTTAAAACATTATTTTTTTAACAAATACTGATAAACTGATCCCATGCAATTGTTTTATGGCATAAAATAGGGCAAACCAAGGTAATAGATAACCAAAATTTTTACTTATCAGAATAAGTCCACTTGAGTATTACTCTAAGAATATATTAATGTGAAATACAGAGTCCACATGAGAGGAAATTATATACTGGTGTACATCTTCATATGTTTCTGTGTATGAATATATGTAAGTATATACCTATATAGACATATATATGTAAGTATATACATATATAGACATATATATGTATGTATTTATTAACAGAAAAGCAGGTGTAGGAGTAACAGACATCTTTACAACCTAAGTGACAGGTTGCCAATGGAACTTAAAAATGCCAAAGAGCAACATCAAGAAATAAATGGGCAACATATCCACAAGGATAAAAGATATTTATCCATAATATGTATAAACTCCTACTAAAAAAAGAGGAAAATTTGCAAAATACAATGAGTAATTAATAAAGCAAATATAGACAATAAAACGTAAAGATGTTCAACTTCACTAGTAACCAAGAAATTGCAGATAAAAAAAAGCCATTTCATTTTTCACATGTTAGCTGGCAAAAAATAAAATATAATTGATAATATCAACTACTGGCAAGAGTATGAAGTAAAGGCACACTACAGTTAATGCCTATATATCAGCAGGACTTACTATTCAGCAAAACAGCAGCATATACATATTAAAACTACGATGTGCCACTCTACTTCTAAGAATATTTTACAGAATAACTTGTACGCAGATTAAAGATATATTTCTATACACAAGGGTGTTCAGTGAAAAATGATTTGTAAAATCAAAAAATGAAAGTAACTTCAATGTTTAAAAATAGGCATGGCTAAATATAGTAGAACCATAACATGCAGCCTTTAAATGGATAAAGTAGAACTATAGGTACTAACATAAACAGATCGCTAAAACACTGATAAATGAAAGATCACACTGAACAGTATGATGATCATATCTGTGGTTAAAAACAAAAACAAAATTTTACCTATGAGTTTCTATATATGTATACTAACAGATAGAAGGTAAATATGGAAAGATAAACCAAGCTGTTCCCAATAGTTATCTCTGGAAAGAAAGGAGTAAAACTTTTACTTCATACTTTGTTTACTATTTGATTTTTTTTTAAATATCAGAAAGCACTTATTACTTATGTAATTTTAAAAAGCAATAAAAGCTGATTTTAAAAAGAATATAAATCATAAATCCATAAACTTACTCAATTTTTCACCCAGCATGTAAAGAATTTCTAGCACCAGCCAATGTATATCCAAGTGGAGATGTAATAAATGCCATGACGGTGGAAAAAGCTGTGGATGACATTATCAACTGTGATTGAGAATTCATTAATATTTTACTAGGTATTTCATAGCATGTCACAATACTCCTCCATAAACACAAGGATAAAGAACCAATTAACCTACCACTATTCAAAAGCTCAGGGAAAACCTCTGTCTTGTTCATTAGAGGATTCTTTCACTGAAGATCTTTGAAAGCAGGAAATATTTTCATCTGTTGGTTTAAGACAAACCCACCTTGGGGCTGCTGAATAGACTTGTATAGTAAAGGTACCTTCCAACCAACCTCTGATTCTACTACAGCTGCAAGGCAGTAAAAGAATTTTTTAACACGTATTTTCATAATTTTGTTTTAGAATTTAGCTAGGAAATTTTTTTTAATGTATGAGTACCCAGGAACTCCTATAAAATATTTTAACAAAAGAACTTTAGACTGTCATGTAGACATTATTGTCATCTCATTAAGAAACAGAAGTTAAAAGAGGTGAAAAAATTTACCTCTCAATTCATGTATTAGTATTCAAACTCAATTCTACCTGAGTCAAAACCCAGCACTTTCAAGTATTGTGTTATACTGGGTTATCAATAACCTTCCTCCTGTCAGCATTTAGCATCACTATAAAAATAAATACAATGACATAACATGTTCCATTAAAACAAATAGAAAGAATGATGAAGAGTAGACCTGCCTTATTAGGTATACAAACAAAATAAAATGCTACACTGACAAAACAATATTGGGACAGAAATAGATAACAAACAGCAAGAACAGACAAGACAGAAATAAATTTATGTGGCATCTGAAATCGATGGGAAAAGTATGGGTCATTCAATAAAAAATAAGATTTTTAACTTTGCAAGAAACTAAAGTTAGACTTCTCACCTCACTGCATGTTTAAAAATAACATGAATTAAAGAAATAAAAGCAACAATCAAAATATTTTAACAGCATAGATAAAACAAAAAACGGAAAAATATAACTATCTAAAAAATTCAAATCGACCTAGAAAGTCAGCTTACTTGATGAAAAAGTAAATAAAAGAAAATATTTGCAATACATAATTCTGAACAACTAATATATACCTAGAGAGTTCTTAAAAAATAAAAGAAGCTCAACTGGAAGTACCAATTAAAACAAGACATTTCATATACAAGACTGTTATAACAAATATATAAAGTCTTGAAAGATGCTTTTTATTTTATTATGCTTTTTTGTTTCAGAAAAGAACAGTATTTTAGTGTGTGATTTTTTATTTTTTGAAGACTGTAAAGTTCCCCTGCTTTAAAAATTTAGTCTTCTGAGCTTCAAATAACCTATCTTTTCAAGTCTGCCTAATTAAAAAGCCTATGAAAGGCAAAACCTAGTTTGAGGACCCCAGTGCACAAATTTTTATTTCTGCTGCTATATAAATTATTCATTTTTATTTCTTACATATTTGATGGATAACCAGAAAATAAAAACCAGTCCAATTTACAGAAACTAGTAAGGAAAATATCCCTCCCTCAACAATCTACTCATGAATCTTTTTATTAAATGACGTAATTAAAAGCAATTACCTATTTGTTTTCTATCGATTAGATATATTAACTTGTAAATTCAGTTAGAACTTTGCTTTTATTATTACATATATTGATCTCTGATGAAAAACTTGTTTCTGCTTCATTTCACAGAAATATGTAAACATTTAATTCTACTTATTTTATTTCTTGAGATAGGGTCTTGCTCTGTCATCCAGGCTGGAATGCAGTGGTGCAATCATGTCTCACCACAGCCTCAACCTCCTGAGTTCAAGGGATCCCCCCACCTCGACCACCTGAGTAGCTGGGACTACAAGGTATGTGCCACCACACTGGACTAACTTTTTAATTTTTTGTAGAAATGGGGTCTCGCTATGTTGCCCAAGCTGGTCTCAAATCCTGGATTCAAACAATCCTCCTGCCTCAGCCACCCAAAGTGTTGGGATTACAGGCATGAGCTACCATGCTTAGCCGTTTTTATATTTTAACAAAGATATATTCATAAAGAGTAAATATTATTCAAAACGGTAAAGTCAAATATAATGAAAGGGGTTGAGACTTCAGGGAATCTCACTGTGAATTACCATAATTTGTTATTCATATAAGCTCCCATTTTCATAGGCAGAATCTATTACTTATCTATAAGCTAGGCACGGTAACAATATAAAGTTTTAAAAACCAAACTTCAGAGGGAATGATTATCACAGGTAGGAAAAAAAGGGCACAGTCAAAACAATCTTAATCACATTCCAAAAAGGCCTCAAAAGTCAGAATACACATAATGATGTGGTCTTGAAAGTTTTTTTTATAAGCTGATCTTGAATCTTACTGTAATATATGATAAAAATTTCAGAAAATAAAGATTATTTCATTTGCTTTAAAATTTTCAGACACTTATACTGTCATAAATCAAGAGAATAGCTACTGATTCAATGACTACTATGTTTTAATAACTTCATGTATATGAATTTATTTAATTCATCCAATGATTCTGGTAAGTTGTAAGAATTACACAGATGTGGAGGCTGAGGTGTCATTTGCCCAAAAGCACACAATTAATAAAAGGAGGATGGGGGGCAAGAATTTCAACTCAGGCAGTCAGGTTCCAGAGCTGTAATTCTGACTAATTTCTCTCCTTCTTGAATGAATACTCCTTGTGGGGAGAAAAAGCTGATAATTTAAAAATCAAATGAAACAAGTCAAACCTTAATCTGGTTTTGATTTACAAATGCTCCTATATTAACACTGGGAAGTTCAGATAGGTGTCCAATATACAAGAGTAATCCATGAAGCTCATCAATCAACACTGAGGGAAGCTGAGCCTCCAAAGCCTCATAAGGATGGACAGGAACATGACTCTCAGCATTCTGTACTTTCAGATACCTAAAAAATAATTAGATAAAATAAACAACTAGAGTCTGTGTGAATACACACAGAAATTCATGCAGTGATCAAAATACTCATCTGATATCCTACCTGAAGATGAAAACTTTAACATAATGGAGAAATAGTACACACTGCTGCCTAATATTGTCTGCTTTGCAGTGTAGAGTTGATACCTTCCCTGAAACCAAAATAGACAATGTTAATCATAGTTCAAATAATTATCATGGGCAGTGACAAAAAATGTTGTAAGCCATACCGGCAGCAATTCTCTATCTTGTAACATTTTATATTAAACATTCTCTTATGGTTCTTGCTCCCCGCTACTCCTCAAAAAATGCTCTTATTAAAGTCACCAATCACACCCACATTGCCCAATCTAATAGACAGTGCCTACCCTCAAGTAACTTGCTCCCACAGTAGCACTAGCTACACCTGGCTTCATGGTGCCAGATAATGAGTCTTCTTTCTTCCTCATGTATCCTTTGTCCTACCTCTTTTATTGGCTCCTCCTCCTCAATTCTATTATTAATATGGTCTCTTCAAGACTCAGTCCTGAATCCTCTACTCTCTGTATATCTCTTCCCATATGTATGATCTCATCAGTTCCTTTATTAATAAATGATAATGACTCTAAAAGGGTTATCTACAACCCCATCTCTCCTTTGCACTCCAGACCTTCCGTGTTAAACTGCCTAACACCTATACTTGGATTGCTCAGACAGTGCAAATAATACCTCCTTTGATTTCTTTCAAAACCTGTTGATGCTGTCCTTGTTTTCAGCCTTTCATAAAATGGTGCCACCAGTAGCCTATATGGTTCTTGATTCTTGCATTTCCTTTAACCTCGTATCTAATCCTTCAGAGTCCTATTAAGTTAATAACCAAATATACATTGAAACTATCCATTTTCCCTATAAACACTTAAACCACCACAATAGCACTCTTCACAGGTCTTTCCATGCTCTCTTTTGTCCCCCTATACACTAAGTAAAAAATCTGCTTAAAATGTATATCAATTTATCTTGTTCCCAAGTCAAAACTCTTGAAAGAATACCTATTATATTTAGAATAAAATCAAAACTCCTAATAATAATTTATAAAGCTCTGAACGACCTTTTAATAGTTGCTGCCTTTCTCCCAACCTCACTCCATGTCAGCTTTCCCTCACTTACTTCAGCATTTATATCAGCAATAATTATCTAGGTAGTTACTATGGGCAAAACACTAATAATCATTATATAGAGAATGAGTAAGAGACAATCTAGTAAACAAAAGCAAAGAAAACATGATGAGAATTATAGGCTACAAATTTACAGCCATACTAAACATGAAACTAAAGTTTAATTCAAATGAACAATCATGCCACTACTGTGGCAGAATAGAAGCATAAGTGTGAAGCAGTTGTGTAAATACCTCCATATTAAACTGCATTTTTATGGCTTTATTTCACCCATAAAAAGTCATATCATCCCAATTTTCACAATTCTCGGCCCATTAAGGCAGTACTCTCTTAAAAATAACTGCAGTGAACATCTGCATCCAGGCAAGACGGAGTAAAATAATCAGATTGCTCCATCTCCCACTGTAAAGCTGAAAACCATAAAAATTACGTCAAGCAAGTTTTCAGGCTCTGGACACAAGACAATATAAGATTGCTCTCCCAGAGAGAAACTGAGCCCTACAACTGTACCAGCTCCCCACCTAGAGACAGTTTCCAGGCTTCAATATGAGGAAGAGAACCCAAATACAGCCCAACTCACTCTTTGAGATGAGGAGATATGGGATCCAAGTTTAGGGAAGTCCAAATTTGCAGGGCAAAAGTACCCAAGAAGAAAGAAGCTATACAAAATAGAGTTCTGGAAGGGTACAGAAGTGTCCCTCTGAGATTTAAGTATCGATCTGTTCAAGCATGAAAAATATTACCCAACGCCAGGGAAAAACACCAGAAAACAATTCCCTATAAAGAGTACACAAGCCAGGGAATAGTTCAAGTTCTCACCAGCAAGCATGAAAAAAAATCTCATAATAGACTACGCACGAGAAAGAATTCTCAAAGCCTTACTAGACTAATTTACTAGGCTAAGTTAACATTAAAGGCTGCTTTTTAAAAGTCCTACCAAAATTTAAAACAAGCCTCAAGAAGAACCAGTGGATTACAACTACACAATAGCGACCCATAACAAAATTCAACATCTAGTTTAAGGAATAAAAATCCAGAAAGCAACAATGTGAAACCCACAATGTTCATCTAACAATAAAACATTACTATATATTCAAAGAAGCAGAAAAATATATCACAGAATCAGGAGAAAAACTAATCAATACAAATAGTTTCAGAAATGACAGTGATAAAAGAATTATTGGCCGGGCATGGTGGCTCACGCCTGTAATCCCAGCACTTTGGGAGGCTGAGGCAGGCGAATCACGAGGTCAGGAGATCAAGATCATCCTGGCCAACATGATGAAACCCTGTCTCTACTAAAAATACAAAAATTAGCTAGGCATGGTGGCGTGTGCCTGTAATCCCAGCTACTCGGGAGGCTGAGGCAGGAAAATTGCTTGAACCAGGGAGTCAGAGGTTGCAGTAAGCCGAGATGGCGCCACTGCACTCCAGCCTGGTGACAGAGCAAGATGCCCTCTCAAAAAGAAGAATTATTAATAGCAGCAACAACAGTGGTTATAATGTATACTCCATATATTCAAGATGGATGAAAACAAGCATGAAGTCAGAAACAGAAGACATTTTAAAAAATCCATAAGGAATGTCTAGAGAAAAAAAACACACACACAATAGCTGAGACAGGGTAACACCAACAATTATATTTAAGAATAGCTCTTGGCTGAGTGTGGTGGGTGATACCTATAATGCTAGCACTTTAGGAGGCCAAGGCGGGAGGATCACTTGAGCCCAGAAGTTTGAGACCAGTCTTGGCAACATAGTGAGACCTTATCTCTACAAAAAATTAATTTTAGTCAGGCATGATGGCGTGAGCCTGTAGTCTCAGCTACTTGGGAAGCTGAGATGGGAGGATCTGCTTGAGCCCAGGAGGTCAAGGCTGAAGTGAGTCATGATCGCACCACTGCACTCCAGCCTGGGCGATGGAGTGAGACCCTGTCTTGAGACAGAGACAAAGAGACGGAAAGAGAGAAAAAAAACAGCTGTCAGCAAAACATGTCATTAAGTATGTTATTCTGCCTCAACTGGAAATTAACCCTGGAAGCATAATGGCTAGAACAAGAACTATACTCATCTGGCAGTAAGTAACTACATAGGGACTTCTTGGCACAGCTGAGGTCCAAGGGTAGCTACACAAGTTAATGAACACAGCTACATGGCAGGGACATGTTCATGTATGGATAATATTTAACACCACTAACTTGTCCAAAATCTGTCATTAAAAGCTTTTTTAAGCAACAAAAACAGCCAAAATGTCAGTGTAACAAACAACCATCTTAACAAATAGTCCACTGCAGTGGTTTCAGGTTAATAAGTGTAATAATAATAATCTATCATAATAAATGCCTTCCATGAACCCAATTTACTTAAGTTATTCTACGTAAAGGTAAAGGTATTTTGGTTCTTTCCACTATAATCTTTTAGTGGCTCCACAGGAGTTCCAAAATAAAAATCATACTCTCTGTCATGGTTTACAAAGCCAACTCTGCTTTTATCCCTTCCAAATTCATCACTCACACACATTCTGATCCAACCATATGTAATTAATATTTAATCCATGCTCTCTAAACTTTTATGTTTTTACACACATCACGTCTTTGTTTATACAGTTTTATTTTTTTCTGCCTGGAATTCTTCCTGTCCGAAAAACTTTTCCCAAATCTTTTGCCTAGCTAATTTCTTCCCATCTGTGAAGACCCAGATCTGGCATCATTTAGTGAGGAGCTCACAGATAGACAAAGCCCTTGGCTTCCACAGCAGCTTGTACATTCCTTTATCACCGTACCTTTTCATTTACCAAGCTGATGTATGCTTGCATGTCTAGCTGTCTACACAACTGCAAACTCATCAGCAGCATATTTTTCCTCTTTGATTCGTCAGTACCTTGCAAAGTACCTGGCATGAACCAGGGACCCATCAGATGATAATGAAACAATAATACTTAACATTTACAAATCACGTAACATATTAAGAAAACAAAAAATATAAAACAGCCTAAAAGCTGATAGCTAACAGCTAGGCCATGGTATCCCCTACTGAAAATAAACAATTTTCATAAAACATAAAAAATAGTCCAGGCACGGTGGCTCACGCCTGTAATCCCAGCGCTTTGGGAGGCCGAGGTGGGTGGATCACAAGGTCAGGAGTTCGACACCAGCCTGACCAACATGGTGAAACCCCATCTCCACCAAAAATACAAAAATTATCCAGGTGTGGTGGTGTGCGCCTGTAATCCCAGCTACTCAGGAGGCTGAGGCAGGAGAATTGCTTGAACCCAGGGGGCTGGAGGTTGCAGTGGGCCAAAATCATGCCACTGCACTCCAGCCTGGGTGACAGAGCGAGACTCCATCTCAAAAAATAATAATAATAATAAATAATAATGATACAGGGCCACTCCATTACAGTGAAACAAGACAAAAACAAAACCTCTGTAACCATGTCTGAATACAAAACATGGCACTATGCAATCACACACACTCCAAACAAAACACACACACACACACAAAATGAACAAAAAAACACATCCTCCCTCTTCCAGTGACCAGGACAATACTTTTTTACTAATTAGGATGCTCCCTTTGTTTGTCTCACCTCCTAGATAAAAATTAAAATACCCACTCTTCAAATTGCCCCTGCTAATTAACAGCATCCAATCCAGAATATAGCCTTATCCCCCTTAAGCCCTACGGAAAATCACCAGAATGAGCCCCAAACATATCACAAGTCCCTTCCTACTCCCTCTTACTGACAAGCCCCAGCTTTTCCTTGTAATGTGTATTTTTCCTTTTTTCATAATCTAATAAACCTCTGTTTGACCAAAAGTGTTCCAGGTAGTCTTTGGTTGCTAGGCATCAATAATGGTAGACACTGTGTTAAGCACTTAACACGCTCAACAAAGTTAGAACTATTACTTGACGTAAGACCCACAATTAGCTAGGGTTGGAAGCCAGGGTGACAAGGCCATGATTCTAAACACTGCACTGCACCAAAATTACTAGAAAGGAGAAGCAGCCAGACTGCACTAAAACACACTGCCCTTCAATTCCCTTTATTACCTTAGCTATACATGCGGTGGCTCATGCCTGTAATCCTAGCACTTCAGGAGGCCAAGGCAGGGGATCACTTGAGGTCAGGAGTTTGCGATCAGCCTGGCCAAAATGGCAAAATCCCATCTCTACTAAAAATATAAAAATTAGCTGGGGGTGGTGGCAGGTGCCTATAATCCCAGCTACTCGGGAGGCTGAGGCAGGAGAATCACTTGAACCCGGGGGGCAGAGGTTACAGTGAGCTGAGATGGCACCTTTGCACTCCAGCCTGGACAAAAGAGCAGAACTCCCTATCAAAAAAAAAAAAAGCAAAAAAAAACCAACTATACCAATCTAAACAAAAGAAAAAAAAATCAGTAATCCATCACACACCAAAAGCAAACACAAAAGCAGAAAGCAGAAAAGAAAATCAAGAAGACAGCATGAGGTCTGGCACTGTTTAGTTCTCATTTAAGTTCTCTATCCCACTCCCTACCTCCAAAACAAGTACTAATTCTCTTCAGAGAATTTTAGCTTAAGTCGGTTTTACCTTTAAAATCTACAGATTTGGGAAAATACTATATATCTCAGCTACAACAAAATTTAAAAAGTCATACTTTTCTGAACACTAAATTCGTAAACTTCTGGCCTAATGCTTCCTCTGTATTATCATGATATGCCAATTATACCATCATGGACCCATGTGCAACTCACTATAATGAAGCACCATTCCCTTTTGCATTAAACACACCTTAAACTTACCAAAATCACAACTGGACTGTAACAAGGTTTCCAAGTTGTACAGTTGTTGCCTAATTTTAAAAATGTAAGGTGAGAGTTAATTTTAGAACACTTTAAAGCATGTAACAATTACGTGGACAATGTTTCCAAATTACACAGCTTCAATACCTCTTTAATTTGGGGATGATGATTAATACCTTGTGAATGTTAATTAAAGGATCAGCTTCAGGTAATGAAAACTTTAAGAAAAGATAAAATACATCTTTGCCTGACCTTCCAAAATTATCTATTAAAGACTGCATATATCTCAAAAATTATTTCAAATACCATAGCCTTCACCATCAGCAAGATACTGTTTATATCTTTAAGTTTACGGCCGGGTGTGGTGGCTCTTGCCTGTAATCCCAGCACTTTGGGAGGCCGAGGCGGGCGGATTACGAGGTCAGGAGATCGTGACCATCCTGGCAAACATGGTGAAACCCCGTCTCTACTAAAAATACGAAAAAATTAGCCCGGCATGGTGGCGGACGCCTGTAGTCCCAGCTACTCGGGAGGCTGAGGCAGGAGAATGGTGTGAACCCAGGAGCTGGAGCTTGCAGTAAGCAGAGATCGCACCACTGCACTCCAGCCTGGGCAACAGAGCAAGACTTCGTCTCAAAAAAAAAAGAAGTTTAAGATGGGGTGCAGTGGCTCCCGCCTGTAATCCTAGCACTTTGGGAGGCCAAGGCAGGTGGAACACCTGAGGTCAGGAATTCAAGACCAGCCTGGCCAGCATGGTGAGACCCCATCTCTACTAAAAATACACAAAAATTAGCCGGGCGTGGTGGGGGGACCCTGTAATCCGAGCTACTCGGGAAGCTGAGGCAAAGAAGCGCTTAAACTCGGGAGGCGGAAGTTGCAGTGAGCCAAGATCACCCCACTGCACTCCAGCCAGGGTGACAGTGTGAGACACCCTCTCAAAAAAAAAAAAAAAGAAGTTTAAGATACATAAAACATTCTAGGTTAACAGTTACATAATAAAATTTTAAACTGTATCATACAGTTATACAATAGAAGTTCAAAAAAGGAATAATGTAGACTAAAGTATCAGGGAAAGCTGTTATTTATCATGTTCCATCTTAATTCCTGATAGCAATTTCTTGCTATTCTTCCTAGTTGATTTCAAAGTCTTTAAAAATTAACCCATATTTATAACCTATGTCCTAGATAAAGACTCGCTCATTCTGTAATCTTCAGGATTACAGAGGATCACTCACTGAGCCTGTTCTATCAATAAAACGTATGACATGGCGTAGATACAGTTTAAGTCTCTTCAAAAGGTTTCATGGGATGATGGTGAGAGAATTCCTTCCACCTCTCCATTTTCCTTTAAATGTATCACATATAGATTTTTACTGTGTTTTGGAATAATTAGCTTTCAATAACTGACTCCTGTTTAAAATTACCTAAAATCTGAATATGAACTGTGTCTTAAATGATAATGAAGAACTTTAATTTTTATTAATTGAGATGAGTTTTTTTTTTGAGACAGAGTCTCGCTCTGTCACCCAGGCTGGAGTACAGTGGGCAATCTCAAATCACTGCAACCTCCGCCTCCTGGGTTCAAGCAGTTCTCCTGCCTCAGCCTCCTGAGTAGCTGGGATTACAGACGCATGCCATCACGCCTGGCTAATTTTTGTATTTTTAGTACAGAAGGGGCTTCACCATGTTGGTCAGGCTGGTCTCGAACTCCCGCCTCGGCCTCCCAAAGTGCTGGGATTACAAGCATGAGCCACCGCGCCTGGCCGTCCTCATCGTTTTTAAAAAGCACATATTTTTAAGAAATTCATACTGAAGTATTTATGGGTGAAACGACATGATGCCTAGGATTTCCTTACAAATACTTAGGCCAAAAGAAGAGGAGACAAGACAGATGAAGGAAATGTAATAAAAAGTTGTTGTTTACTGCAACTGAAGGAGGGTATATGGATGTTCATTATATTATTATTTTGTGTATGCTTAAAATTTTTCATTAAAAAAATTTTAAATGTTGTCCAAATAATTAATATTTCTATTACACAGTCTAAACAATTTATTTGTTAAGACCATACTCTAAAGATCACTGAAAGACTATGGCTATTGCACAACAAAAATATTTTAATTTTCTTCTAAAAATTATAGTTCAAAGCCTTAAATATTTGTCAATACATGTGTCAAATGCAAAGAATAAAGATTCTGAAAACGCAACTCATTAAAACCATTACTCATCAGGCATTGCTGCTTGATTATTGTTACTGGTAAGATAATCAAGTGAGCAACCAGCACAATTCCTCTGGTCTTTTGTAATATCAGTATTAGAAGCCACCCAACAACGTAATTTACAAAAGTGAACAACACCTACACTCACAGAAAGTTATAACGAAGAAATACCTGAATAAATGAAAGAGTTCTCTAGATGAATTCACTAATGCTGTTTCAGTAACCCACTGAATGCCAAATATTTCCAAGGTATCTTCTTCAAAATTAGTTGGTAAAGGGTCAAGATTCAAAATCAATCTGAAATGAAAATTGTTTCAATCTCATAAAAAGTATACTAAGTACCATAATACGACGGCTCTTTTCTTTACATTATTTGAATCCATATTATACATGACATGTATAAAAAGTCAGAAAATGCCTTGGTACTTTACACATTCAAGATTACAATAGCTAGACTGTATTAAAACGTCAATCTTCTATATTGATAAAATGTACGACTAAAGTGTAATGTAACTTAAGAGGAAAAATCAACAAGAATTCTAAAAAACATATTTCTGCCTGTCTTCACCAGTAGTCTTCAGTTGTAGAATTTCATCCTTTGAGGGGACATTTAATTTTAAAACTGCTAACAGTTATTCTGAGCCATGTCTGGAGAATAGTATCCAACTAATGAAGTTGAGTATTCTATTTAAGATTTCTAACAAGGTACAACTATAAGGTCAACAAAAATAGTTTCCTCACTGAAACTGCCTCAGCAGGTATTACCAAAATATTTCAAGAACAGTTTTACTGTAATATATATGTACCTGCCCAAGGCAAAATAAGTCTATACACTTCTATATGTGCAGGTAGGATTAGAAGGAACAGGGGCAATAAAAAATGTTTGTCTCTCTTAAATATTACTGGAAAGCTCTAGAATATTATCACACTCTTTAGAAGGAAATACTACTGCAAAAGGCTCAGATAGTTAGGAATTCATTTTAAGTAGAAGAAAAATTAGTGCCCAGCTCCCTACAGTAAGGGAACATCAGTTACCAAGGAAGTTTTCCCTAATACCCCAAATACTTTAGATATGCCCTTACCAAGAAGCCAGCAGAACTGATAATCATTTGTACCCTTATGATATACTAAGCTGATTTATAAAACACGACTTGGTGAACACCAAAGTTTAATGGGCTGAAATAACTAACATTCCTAAAAAACTGGTGAATAATCAGATGAGGGAAAATGTCTCTGAGTTTTACCTACCGCTTAAGGGCTCCGCTGCAGAGGTAGGATTCTCCAGAAAAATGTTTTCCTCCTCCTCTGTTGTCAACAGCACAAGAAAAGTAAGGAGGTTTGCACCATTCCGTCCCCAGCTCCAGCTCTAAGCTGTCAGTCAGGAACGTCGATGCAGCAGAACAGTTCTCCATTGTTTACTTCATGTTCTGAAACACTTGGGGTTCGTCGTATCATTAAGGGCTCCAAAGAGAAGGTGTGAAGAGATTCCTGTTGGGGGGGGGGGGGTGGGGCCGAGAGAGTGGGGATTACTTCAGAAAGTTCTCAAGACGTCCGCCAGCAGGAAGGAAAAACAAACGAACAAACCCAGAGGCCAAATTCCCAATTCCCCCTCGCCCTCCGTCCATCAAGGCTGTCAGAACTTAAGACAAAATGCACAACCAACTGGCTGTGGCAGGGACCTCGAAATCCGGCCACTAAGTCGGGCTCTGCAGCCCAGGACAAGGTGAAAAGCAAAGAAATGTCTGCAGGACATAGCGTCCCGGGCTTGCCTAGAACTGCGCCCTCCGCAACGTTTCTAAACCACTCTCCGCCCGTTTCCCAGCAGCAGGGTGGAGAACGCTCCCTCCCCGGCTCGGGGTGGAAATTAGGAAAGCAACCCCTAGGGCCAACCCCGACCCTCCAAGGAGGAGGCGAGACCCACCAGGCCCACGCCTGGCAGCACTCGGGCGGAGAAGGCGGGGTGCCGGTATCCCGCGTACCCGGCTGCAGCAAGGACCCGGGGCGTCGGTTACCCGCGGTGCCTGTCGTACCCGCTCACATTTCCAGCTCCCGAAACCTGCCTCCTGTGACCCAGACCACCAACAGGAATCTTTGGGGTCTAAACCGCAAACAGGCGAAATTCCCGCCACCGCGCGCCCGCGCTCCGGAAAGGCGGGGCCACGGCGCAGCCCTCCCCCGGCTACCAATCGCCTCGCGATATCTGCGCGGAAACAGTCGGAGCCCCACGAATTCTCGCGAGAGTCCGTCAGTCCGGGACGAGGTACTGAGAAACTTTTTTTTTTGTACCTTTAATTGGTGCGTTCGGCTGAAAGGCGGGGCCTGGTAAAAAAAAAAAAACAGAACTGCTGCTGAGGCGGAGGAGAGGACTTAAGGACTATGGGTTTATCCTCTGGCCGGACCAAAGAGAAGATATTTACTCCAGTGAGTGCGAAGTGAGTGCCTCGTTCACACCCACAGTCGCGCCGTCCCCTCTTCCCGCTCTGGGGCCAGCAACTCTTGTTAGAATGCAGATGCCTTTTGTCCATGGACTGTGAGGCAGGCAAGTGCAACAATTAATTTTCTCTGTAACAGATGGAACAAGTAGACAGAAAATTAGTATGGATATGGAAAACTTGGAAAGCACTAACCAACTTGACCTAATTGACGTTTATAGGTGACCAACCCAACAATAGCAGAATACACACTCCTGTCAAGTGCACATGAAACATTCACTAAGCGATACCATATTCCGAGCCATAAAACAAATGTCATCAACTTTAAAAAGATTTAAATCGTACAAAGTGTATAGTCTGATCATAATGGCATTAAACTAGAAATAAAGTAGATACTTGAAATACTCTAAATATTTGGAAATTAAGAATCATACTTCTAACTAACCTGTGAATCAGGAAAAATCACAGGAAAATTAGAAAATACGTTGAATTAAATTAAAATGAAAACACTAAAATTTGTAACAGTACCTGCTTACATTAAAAAGAAGAACTCAATTCAATAAACTTTTGTCTTAAGTAACTAGAAAAAACCCCCAGCATATTGAAACCAAAGCAAGCAAAATGAATGAAATGATAAATAGTAGAAATAAATGGGATGAAATAAATGGAAGGAAATACATGCAAAAGTTGTTTTTCTAAAAGAGCAATATAATTGATAACCCCCCTACCCAAACTGATAAAGAAAATAAACAAATTATCAGTATCAGGAATTAAAAAGGTTTCATCACTATGAAATTTAGTCATTAAAAGGACAAGGATATTAAAAGAACATTATGAACATTTTTATGCCAATAAGCATAGGTGAAATGGACAAATTCCTTAAAAGACGCAAACTGTCAAAAATCAACAAAAGAAGAAAATTTGAGTATCTCTGTATTTATCGTAGTACTCAGAATCTTTGGTTAAGCCTCCCTCCTCTCTCTCTGCACACACACACACACACACACACACACACACACACACACACCACTTCTTACAAGAAAACTTCAGGCCAGGGCAGGCACAGTGGCTTTGGGAGGCTGAAGTAGGTGGATCCCTTGAGACCAGGAGTTCCAGACCAGCCTGGGCAACATGGTGAAACCCTGTCCCTTGTCTCCACAAAAAAAATACAAATATTAGCCAGGCGTGGTGGTGCTCATCTGTAGTCCCAACTACTTAGGGAGGCTGAGGTGAGAGGATCACTTGAGCTGGAGAGTTCGAGGCTGCAGTGAACTGTGAGTGTGCCATTGTACTCCAGCCTGGACAACAGAGCAACACCATTTCTCAAAAGCAACAAAACAAACAAACACTCTCCAGGCCAAATGGCCTTACTATTAAATTCTCCCAAACATTTAAGGAAGGAGTAATACCAATTCTATACTAACTCTTAGAGAAATTAGGAGATTGGATGCTTGTTTTATGAGGCTAGCACCACACTGGTATCGAAACCTGACAAAAGACAATTACAATACAATATCACATGCAAACATAAAAGCAGAAATGTTAGCAAGCAAAATCCAGCAGTACATAAAAAGGATGACATATGATGGCAAGGTGCAGTGGCTCACGCCTGTAATCCCAGCACTTTGGGAGACCAAGGCGGGTGGATCACTTGAGGTCAGGAGTTCAAGACCAGCCTGGCCAACATGGTGAAACCTCGTCTCTACTAAAAATACAAAAATTAGCCGGGTATGGCGCCATGTGCCTGTAGTCCCAGCTACACAGGAGGCTGAGGCAGGAGAATCGCTTGAACCCGGCATGGGGAGGTTGCAGTGAGCCGAGATCGCGCCACTGTACTCCAGAACAAGACTCCGCCTCAGAACAAACAAACAAAAAGGATGACATATGACAAGAAAATTAGATTCATGTTAGGAATGCAAGGTTATTCAAATTTCTACAAGTAATCAGTTCATTATATCAAGTCTATAAAAAGAAAAACTGTCATCTCAATAGACACTGAAAGATCACTTGATAAATTCAACATCTATTCATGATAAAAACTCTCTGCCAACTAAGAATGGAAGAAAACTCCCTACCTTATATGTGATATCTATGACAAACCTGCTATTAATATCATACTTAGTTATAAAAATGTATGTTCTTTTCCTAAGATTGAGAAAAAGGCAATGATGTCCACTTTTTCCACTTCTCTCAACATTTTACTGGAGGTAACTAGTCAATGCAATAAGGAAGATGAAGAAATAAATGTCATATAGATTGAATAAGAAGAAGTAAAACTGTCTTGATTTTCAGATGACATAATTATTCATATAGAAAATCCTAAAAAAATCTCTACAAATATATATAAAAACTATGAGTTCAGCAAGGTGGCGGGGTTCAGTGACACACAAAAATTAATTGTATTTTATAGACATGAAAAGACAATTTGAAAATTAGAGTTTAGAAAACAACACCATTTAATGACATAAACAAGGTTTAAATTTAACAAAATATGCGTCAGATTTTGTTTGCCAAGGATTCCAAAATATTGCTGAAAAAAATTCAAGAATATTCAAGTAAATAGAATGAGATAGCATAATCATAAATTGGAAGACTCAATATTATTAAAAGTTCTTCTGAAGTTTATCTATGGCTTCAAAGGACTGCCAATCAAAATCCTAATCCCAGAGAACTTTCTTTTGTAGAAATTGACAAATGCATTCCAAAACTGATATGGAAATGCAAAGGGCCTAGATTAACCGAAACAATTTTGAGTAAGAATAGTGTTGAAAGAATTCCAGTACCTAATTTCAGGACTTGCCATTAAGTTACAATAATCAAAACAGTATGATTTTGATCTAAGGGTAGACATAGCCAGTGGAAAAGAATAGAGACTCCAGTAACAGGCCCCCATACACGTTTGATCAGCTGCTTTTTGGCAAAGGTAATTCCATGGTGAAAGGATAGTCTTTTCAACAAATAGTGAGAGAACTATTGGATACTGATACACTTAAAAATGAACCTACCTCATATTATAAAATTTAACCCAGTAAGGATCATAGACCTACATGTAAAAGCTAAAACTCTTAAAAACTTTTAGATATTCAGCTTGCTAGTAATCAAGAAAATGCCAGCAAAGAAAAGCAAGAAATAAGGCTAGTCCACAGAAGAAAAATCAAGTGTGTGTGGTATGGTATGATGTCTGTCATGAAATCCAAGAGAAGTATTTTATGAAAGAATGGGTAAGCTAATAAAGGAAAACAGATTAATCATTGGTATTGGCAAGAAATAGGTCATTACTAATGTTGATAAAAGCTGTTTAAGTTGAGTAGTTGGGGAAAAACATCTGATAGGAGTGGGTCATATAGAAAATGGGAGGTGAATCAGCAAATATCAAAACTTTACCCAGGAATTTAATTGAAAATAAAGCATAAAAATAGGACAGAGGGACATATAGGGATCAAGAAATGGTATTTTCAAGATAAAAGATGTTAGAACATGTTTGCGAGGCTATGGCAGTTATTAAATGGAAAGAAAAAAGATGCTGAACAGAAGGGGAATAATTGCAAGAATAAAGGCATTGAAAAGATGAGAGGGGATAGTATTCATTACACAAATGACATATCAACCTCTGATAGGCTCAAGAAAAAATTTTTATCCTAATAGGAAGAGTAAAAAAAAAAAGTAAATCTTAAAAATACAGAATAAGATGGCTGGAGGTGGTGAACTACGTGTTGGAATGTTGAGTTGTTTTTGTTTTATTTCACCTATTTCTCTATGACACATCAACTGGAAGTGAGAAGGAAGAGTAGTTGTTAGAAATTAGAGAAGAGGTGCAATATTGTCATATTGGTGAGTAGAAAAGTATATTTACTAGGCAAAGATAATAAGAATGTCTGGAAGTGTTGAGTTATCATTTGAGATTTGTGACAAAAAATTAGAGTTCAGTCATCATGGTTTTGTCATTTTCTCCAGCACCATTCAGCTACTTGGTAAAAGAGGGCAGGACAGGCCAGGTACGGTGGCTCATTCCTGTAATTCCAGCACTTTGGGAGGCCAAGGCAGGTGAATCACTTGAGGTCAGGAGTTCAAGACCAGTCTGGCCAACATGGTGAAACCCTGTCTCTTCTAAAAATACAAAAATTAGCCAGTTGTGGAGGCACACACCTGTAGTCCCAGCTACTCGGGAGGCTGAGGCAGAAGAATTGCTTGAACCCGGGAGGCAGAGGTTGCAGTGAGCCATTATCGTGCCACTGCACTCCAGACTGGGTGACAGAGCGAGACTCCATCTCAAAAATAAATAAATAAATAGAAAACCAACAACAACAACAACAAAAAACAGGGAGGACATATGATAGAATTTGAATGTTGTATAATAAATGAACCCATTCTAACTTGCTGCTTTTTAAAAAATATACCCACAAACCATCTATTTAATAATGTATTCTTGTGTTTTCAGGTATCAGACTCAAAGTCAAACAATTTAATATGAATGTCATGTTTTGTAGGAGGGAAACTTTTCACAAATTCAACTTAATATGATATATTCCACTGATTGAAAGGTCTCAGTTTCAGAAAGTTTATGATTTTAATTGAAATCTTATTTAAAGTTTAAGACTGTTCCTTCTTATCCCTTAAATGTAAATGAGGATCACCTTACCACTTTATAGTAACTGCTGTTAAGTCTAGAATTGGATTCAACATTGTAGCAATATCTGACCAATATTAACTCCAGTTCTAATGATCTTATTATTACAGTTGGACACTGTTGAGGATACACTGAGATAGCTCAACTTAGTTATGGCTTTTAGTTCTGTGCTGTGCTATTGAAAATACTAGGTTATCTCCATGAGCTATCTATTGTAAATGTTTATACAACCTACTGTAAGCTGACTTTCTGTTGACCCACAGTATTTTAATGCACTAATTTTGTGCAACAGATAATGAACTCTTAACCTCTCAAGTGCTACTCCCTGGCACACATATTATGATTTAAACAACTACTTCAGTAGCAACAGAGAAATGTAGTTGGTTAAGAAGGAACAACTTTCCTATAAAAGGAAAAGGACTTTTCATACAACTGTTCAAGGCACTTAGTCATTAACAAGGGAATACACCACATAGAACTTTGAAAAAATCTACATACAAGAAAAACTCCATTATTGATCCTCATTCATTTTTCTATAGCTTTATCATCTTTCCCTCCTGCTTGTGCTCTTAATCCATTTTCTTTTACCTCCAGGAGCTTGATCCTTCAATTACCACTATTTCTTCAACCTTCAACCACTCCCTCTCTCCTGTCTTCTTTCCCAAAGCCTACTGTGATAGACATCTTCTAAGATTGCTCTCAGTAATATCTGCCAGTATTCATGTCCTTGTGCAGTCTTCTCCCCTTGTGTGGGCCGAACCTAAAGACTTGCTTCTATTGACCAGAATAAGGCAAAAAGTGATGAGATATCACTTCCACAATTAGTTTACAAAAGACTGTGATTACATCTTGCTAGAACTCTCTCTCTCACTAACATTCTTCCCCTGTCAGCTTCTTGATTAGTTCACTTCGATGCAGTAAACTTCCATGTTAGAAAGGCCCACATGGCAAAAACTGAGAGCAGACTCTGGACAATAGGTAGTGAAGAACCATGGTCCTCAGTCCATCAGTCCACAAGGAACTGAATTCTGCCAACAATCATCTGAGCGAGTTTGGAAAGCAGATTCTTCTGCAGTTGAGATTTGAGATGACTAGGCCTGTATCTATTGTATCTAATACAATAGATAGCTCATGGAGATATATAGTAAATAATTTAATCTTGTCCAAAAAGGAGTCTGGGCCTTTGCCCTTGGCTTATGAGAGGTAATTTCTAAGCCTCTGGAATGTTGTGTCTGATAAGAGTGTCTTTTTTGCCTGGGGCCTAGGATCATACAGGATAATCTAACAGTGTGATTTGGGCTGGCAGTTGGCCATGGCTGAAAGATCAAAAATGTAATTTAGGATGGGTCTTTGAGTCACGTGATATCAGTCTGGAGACTGAGATCAACCATGTGGGTAATCACTCTAACATGCCTGCATAATGAGGACCCACTAAAAACTCTGAACACTGAGGCTCAGGTGAGCTTCCCTAGTTGGCCGTATTCTGTGCATATTTTCACACGTTGATGCTGGGAAAGTAACACATCGTGACTCCACTGGGAAAAGAAAACAGAAGTTTCACCAAACAGAAGTTTGATACTTTCTCATATGGGTTTCTTCTCTTGGCTGATTTGAATCTGTATCCTTTCCTTGTAACCATAACTGTGAATATAATAGTTTTCAATAAGTTCTGTGAATTTCTCTAGCAAATTATCAAAGATTAGGGTGGTTTTGAGAACCCCTTGGACCTATAATTGGAGTGAAAATTGAGGGCAGTGGTAGTGTGGACTGTCTGCCCCCAACTTCACGGTTGGCTAAACTATTTTAGCAACATTGCTGCCAGTCACCCATGGTGACTGACAACTTGACTGCACCTGTGAAAGTCCTTGAAGCAAAGGATTCAGTTAGCCCACCTCCGGATTTCTAGATGAGATAATAAAATTTTGTTATCTTGAGAAACTATGAGATAATTTGTTGTTTCAAGCCACTAAGTCTTGGCGTAACCTATTACATAGTAATAGATAATTAATATAACTAATAGCATACTTTTAAAAAAACAATAAAGCTTGCTTCAAGCCAAGAGTTCAATATCAGCTTGGGGAACAAAGCAAGACCCTGTCTCTACAAAACATTTAAAAAATTAGCTAGGCATGGTGGCACATGCCTATAGTCCTAGCACTTTGAGAGGCAGAAACAAGATGATTGCTTAAGCCCAGGAGTTGGAGGCTTCAGTGAGCTATGATTGCACCACTGCACTTCAACTTGAGTGAAAGAGCAAGACTCTGTTTCTGAAAAAATTTAAAAAATTGAAAAAAAATAAAGCAACCAGGCATGGTGGTTCTTGCCTGTGATCCCAGCATTTTGAATGGCGGAGGCAGGTGGATCATCTGAGGTCAGGAGTTTGAGACTAGCCTGGCCAACATAGTGAAACCCTGTCTCTATTAAAAATACAAAAATTAGCCAGGTGGTAGTGGTGCTCGCCTGTAATCCCAGCTACTTGGGAGGCTGAGGCTGGAGAATCACTTGAAACCGGGAGGCAGAGGTTGCAGTGAGCCAAAATTGGTCACCGCACTCCAGCCTGGGTGACACAGTGAGAGTCTGTATCAATCAGTCAATCAACCAATAAAGCAAAACAAAACAAATCTTGTTTTCTTGTATTTAAATAGTCACATTGATTCCAAATCTAACCAAATGATAATAAGCACCCTTCACGTCTCATGCTCTCTATATATCTTTTAACTAATATCCTTATTTTTAGAGCATTTTTAGGATTATTAAAAAAAATTTTTTTCACCTTTTATTTTTACAGATGGAGTCATGCTATATTGCCTAGGCTGGTCTTAAACTCCTGAGCTCAAGGGATCCTCTCATTCTCAATTCAGCCTCCTGAGTAGCTAGGACTACAGGCATATGCCACTGCACCCAGCTTGAATTTTTAGGTTTACAGAAAAATCGAACAGAAAGGACAGAGAGTTCCCATGCATTCCCTTACCCTTCTTTGTACATAAATTACCTTACCCTTTTTCACACTCTGTATTTTTTCCTAACCAACCTACTCCAAACACATTTTCTATTACTACTTCCATGCAGATTACCTATTTAAAATAAGCTGGAGTGCAGTGGCGCGATCTCGGCTCACTACAAGCTCTGTCTCCCAGGTTCACACCATTCTCCTGCCTCAGCTACTGCAGGCGCCCACCACCACGCCCGGCTAATTTTTTGTATTTTTTTAGTAGAGGCGGGTTTTCACCGTGTTAGCCAGGATGGCCTCAATCTCCTGACCTCGTGATCTGCCCGCCTCGGCCTCCCAAAGTGCTGGGATTACAGGCGTGAGCCACAGCACCTGGCCAAAATTGAGATTTTTTATTGTTATGTCCTCAGGATTTAGGATAGTACCTGTATATGTGGTAGGTCCTTAAAAATATTTTTGATTAAATGAATAGAATGTTGCCTTTAGCGTTTAACTACTGATAATCATATCTTAGTTTTGGAAATCTTTTTGAAAGATGTTATTATGTCACTTTCTTTTCCTCAAAATTTCTGCTGAGGGACAAACCTGAGAAAAATAGCTGTAATGTATCCAATATTCTAACTGAGGTGCTAGACCACTATTGCAAAGGAGGTGGCCAAAATTTACTTTTATCAGCAAATTTGCTTTTATTAGCTCACTCTGTGTGTGTGTGTGTGTGTGTGTGTGTGTGTGTGTGTGTGTGTATAAAATAATTCACTGGGGGGATAAAGTTTCTAGAGTTAGGATTTCTTTAGAGACTAAATATGGAAAGGTGCAGTGTTTTCACTCTCCTTTAAGCTAAATAGGGGAACTACAGAGAATCACTTTGAGAGGCTCACATGTATCTTCTGGCACTTGGAACGCATAGAAATTGATCCCTGTCTGGATGCTGACATCTGAAGGCAAAAGGTTGGCTAGAGTGGCTCTTGTTGGCAGGGCAAGGAGTGAGTGCTGTGGAAGGAATACGCTGTATTGCCACTGGGGTAGGGAAGTAGTGTGTGAACCCCTGAGGCAGGGAGCCAGACCTGGGTTGCCTTGGGAGGGAGCTTGTCCAAGAGGACTGCTTGCAGGCATCGGGTAGCATCAACAGAAAGAGACTGGAAACCAGGTGCTGAGGGGCAGTCAGTGGCAGCCGGCAAGGGAAGGCACAAATTGGATCAACCTCTTTGCTTAAAATCCTGCAGTGGCCTCCTATTGTACTTACAGTGAAATCTATACTCCTCACCTTTGTGATTTGAGCCCTTCCTATGCCCACAGTCTTATCCTTTACTATTTTACACCTCTCTCACAAAATGTCAGCCACATGACCTTGTTTCAGTTCTTCTCATACACTGTATTCTTTGCTGCCTCAACATGTTAGCACAAACAGTGCCTTATGCCAGGACGATTTTTTTCTCTTGCTTTATCTAGGCTTGGCTCCTTTTTGTCTTTGAGATCTTGGCTAAATTTCCTTGCCTCTTAGAGACACTCAATGGACCCCTCAATTTAACATAAGTTTAATAATTTGAGTTTGGCAAAGTTGCAAGTGGCATAAAACTCAACATAACCGTAACTTAACAAGAAAAAAGGTTTCTATTCCTTTTGTGAGTCAGGTAGTCAGTCTAGATCTGGTAGACCTTTATGGTGTCAGGATCCAAGGATCCCTAATCCTGTCTTCACAGTGTGTGGCCTCTACTTTAAGTGTGCATCATTGTCCATGAGGGCTGTTCCTGCTGCAGCCAGTACACGTATATTCCAACTGGCAGGAAGGGGAAAATGGGAAAAGGGCACTTCTAAGGTCAATTCTAGAAGTTGCTCATACTACATCTGTTTACATACCACTGGCTTGAACTTAGTCACACACTCCCATTTAGCCACAAATTAGACAAGCTGGGAAAGATTATCTTTATTCTGGGTGGCCACATGCCTAACTAAAATTAAGGGGCAGGTTAAAATGCATCTATGGGACTACTGATAGTTGCTCCCACAAACACCCATCAGTTCTGTTTTCTCACAGCACTTAAGTTATAGAAGCTAAAACTTTTCTCCCTTGTGGAAGCTTTCTTTGATCACTCTGTCTAAAACAAATTTCTGTAATTTACTTTATTCTTTATTTACTTTAATCCCACCAGGCAGAGAAGGGGGTTCAATTGCAAGTGACAGAAAATTCAGTTTTAAAATGGCTTAACAAGGAAACAGTTTCGTTCCCATTCACGTGGAAGTCATGTAATCATTCTAGGATTTGCATGGTACTCTATGGTATCCAGAAAGGGAATGAGTTAAGTTATATCAGTCATCAAACTGTATCCTGTGGGCCAAAGCCACTTACCACCTGGTCTTGTAAGTAAAGTTTTATTGGAACATAGCCACACCTATTGGTTGAAGTATTATTTATAGTTGCTTTCTCACTAACTCTTTCTAACTTATGGCAGAGTTGAGCAATATAGCCCACAAAGTCTAAACTATTTACTATCTAGCCCTTCAAAGAAAATGTTTGCCAATACCTGAGTTATGTTAATAGGTTTGCTGAATAGCATGTATTTACAGGCATTACTCTCCTTGGAGCTGTAAGATTTTTTCCTTAGAAAGCCAGTAGTTGTAAGAAGAAGTGTTTTAAATTTGTTCCTACAACACCCCACCACACCCCCAATTTCTTCTTTAATTTCTGTTTTCTGTGGGAGGTTAGTGAGATTAAGACTCTTTAATTTTCTCCCTTAGCATTGTTAGCTGTCTAATCCTCATAATATCACGATTCTAAGAATCAGAGTACCAGAGCAGGAAGGTGCCATGTGTCTTACCCTATGGGGCACTCTGGTGTGCCACCTAGATTCCTAAATCTCTTTCTTATTTTCTTCAGGAAATCCAATTACATGAGTGTTAAGTCTTTTGATATTGTCCCACAGGTCCATGGGGCTCCATTTACTTTTTTCAACCTTTTTTCTCTTGTTCAGATTGTACAATTTTTATTGATTAACCTCAAGTTCACTAACATCCCCCTTGTCATCCCCATTCTGCTACTGCTGTCATCTTGTGAACTTATTTTAGATATGGTGTTTTTAGGTTCTAAAATTTCTCATTGGTTCTTTTTTACTTTCTATTTTTCTGCAGAGAACTTCTATCTTGCTATTTATTTCAAGAGGGGTCACTTTTACTTCTTGGAGGATGGTTATAATAACTGCTTTAATACCTATGTGTGATAATCCTAATATATGATCATTCCAGGGTTGGCATCTGTTGATTGTATTCTCCCTTAAGATTTGGTTCAATTTGCTGATTTCTTATGTGTCTAGTAATTTTGGATTACATCCTCTGCATTTTCAATTTGTGTTGTAATACCTTGTTAAAAATCCTTCCAATTATGTTTTTTAGGGGGAGGCAGGGGATGGAGAGAAGGGTTGTTTTAGGAATTAATTGGTCTAGTTAGCTTCAGGTTGTTAGTTTTGTTTCACTTTCTTTTGGTGAATATCTATGTCTTTTCAGTTTTCAAAGCATTTGTTATGTTCTTTGGGTCTCTCCCTCACATATGCCACTTAAGTGTTAGTTTGAGGCTTGGGCAGTGGTTTATTAAAGCTTTTGCTATGCTTCTTTGGTTATGTTTCACGCATGCGTAACTTGGGGGTGAGCCAGGGACTTGTGTTGATTCATATGCAGAAACGGGTGATCTCTTCCAGCTCTATCTGCACCAGGATTTTCCCCAACTCTCTGGCTCCTAGGGACTCTTCTAGTTCTTCTGAATAGAAATACAGGGTTCTTTCAGGTGAAGTCCTCTTGAACTGCCACTTAGTTTCTTGTGATAAGGCTTCTCTCCAGAAAAAGTGATGAAAGTAAAGAGGAAAAGACAAAAACAAAAACAAAAACACGGAGATATTTCCCCGCAACACACACTGTGCAACAAAGGCATCTTTTTCTACTCCTTCTATACTAAGATGGTTTTTTCTAAGTTTTAGGTGCCCACTCCACCTCCATCAGTTAATGCAGCACCATGACTATGCCTGGCCTTGGGGAAAGGCTGGGAGAGAAAAAAAGAGAAAACAAAATGAGGGTTTTTCTCAACACTCTCCTGCTTGAAAAGGTCCCTTTTCCTGGTCCTCCAGCAAGAAAGAGGGGTTTCTCTTAGAGATTTTGTTGTGCATGCTGACAATGGAGTTCCCCAATTCAATCTACCCTGAGTCAAAACCGGGAGATAGACGAAATTATAGAAAACTCATTATCACCATACCAGTCATCCTTTTAATTTTGACTTTCCCTACCAATTTGGTATTCTGTAAGCTCCAAAATCTTCAGCTATTTGGTTTTTTTGTTTGTTTTTTTAAATTATCCAGAGTTTTTAGTTGTAATTGATGGGTAAGATAGACTCTAGTGGGGTTACTCCATTTTGGCCAGCACTTTACCATAGGTAAGCCTATCAAACATAATTGTCACAATTGTTGGATAGGAGGATGCAAAAACTAATCAAGAGGTCAGTAGCTACTACCATAGGAAGCCATCTGTTATTTAACTTCTGTCTCTTCTTTTATTAGAGATAATACCACCTTGCTGTGACTTTTTTCTAAGGTGTTTTTTAAGTTGCAGTTTAATATATGTGATATGAACCCATTTATGTATCACAACAAAAGTTATATGTGTAAGGTTACACAGAGATTACACACAGAACTAGCTACTAGTTAAAATTGTGGAAGATGGGAATGAAGGCATACCTTTTTAAAACGCTATACATGTTTGTACTGTTGGAACATTAGAAATGACCAAACCAACCTACCAAAGAATAGAAGAATCCTCCTTATCCTAAAACTTATAGTGTCAGCTTTCACAGATTTCAGATTATTTATGTCTGATTTCTAGCTGCAGTAGAAACCTTTGGTGGGTGTCTGCTCAGCTCATCACAACTTTCTCTCTTTCTTTAAGAATCCTCCTCCCAATACACACTTCCCAGAAGGCCAGGCCCTTGGCAGCCATGTAGATAGTAAAGACCCAGTCTCACTGGCCAACTGAAGGATTCTGTCTCCTGAAGATTTATACTGGGAACTGAAGGGGCTAGCTTATTCTGGACTGTACACTTGATCTGATGTTATTCTGCTTAAGGAGCTGTAGGACAGCCACCTTCTACCACATATAGCAATAAGTAGAGAACTGGTCACTGTGGCTAATGTCTATAATCCCTGCACTTTGGGAGGCAGAGGCAGTTGGATTGCTTGAGGCCAGGAGTTTGAGACTAGCCTAGGCAACATAGCAAGACCCCATCTCCACCAAAAAGAAAAAAATTAACTGGTTGTGGTGATGTGCATACCTGTAGTCCCAGCTCCTCTGGAGACTGGGGTGGGAGGATTGCTTAAACCCAAGAGTTCAAGGCTGCAGTGAACAACTATGATTGTGCCACTGTGCTCCAGCCTGGGTGACAGAGTGAGAACTCATCTCTTAAAAATAAATAAATAAAATAAGTAGAGTAAACCATTTAGCAGAAAGAGGAGGAAAAAAGCACAGAAAAGTGCAAATGAAAAAACCAAGTGGTCAGAGAAAAGGAGAGAATTAAACATAATGAGAATTAGGTGGAGAATAAGCAAAAAATAAACTGAGAAAAGCGCTGAGTTGTTCCTAAAGGCTTTTAAATTCCCTAGTTGTACTAGTCTATTCTCACATTGCTAATAAAGACATACCCAAGACTGGGTAATTAATATAGAAAAGCAGGTTTAGGCTGGGCGCAGTGGCTCATGCCTGCAATCCCAGCACTTTGGGAGGCCAAGGCAGGTGGATCACCTGAGGTCAGGAGTTTGAGACCAGCCTGGCCAACGTGGTGAAACCCCATCTCTACTAAAAACACAAAAAATTAGCTGGGCGTAGTAGTGCATGCCTGTAATCCCAGGTACATGGGAGGCTGAGGCAGGAGAATTGCTTGAAACCAGGAGGCGGAGGTTGCAGTGAGCCTCTATCGTGCCACTGCACTCCAGCCTGGGCAATAGAGGAAGACTCCGTCTCAAAAAAAATAAAGAAAGAAAGAAAAAAAGGTCTAATGGGCTCACAGTTCCACATGGCTGGGGAGGCCTCACAATCATGGCAGAAGGCAAAGTAGGAACAAAAGCATGTCTTACATGGCAGCAGGCAAGAGAAAATGAGAACCAAGTGAAAGGGGATCCCCCTTATAAAACCATTAGATCCTGCGAGACTTACTACCACGAGAACATCATGAGGAAAACCATGATTCAATTGTCTCCCACCAGGGCTCTCCCACAACGCGTGGAAATTATGGGAGCTACAATTCAAGATGAGATTTGGGTGGGGACAGAGCCAAACCATATCACTAGTTCCACCACCTTTTGTGACCTATCAACATTGTTATCATTTTATTCAAGGAAATAATCATGTGTTTTTATAATAATTATTTCATTTTCCTTAAACTCTCTGAACTAAGACATTATATTTCTAGCAATAAATAGAAAACCAATGTTATAGAGAAAATGTGACTTAGATAACTATGATTTTCTTATTGTTTTGAAAAGAAAGAGATGGTTGAGATTGTACACATATGAAACAGCTCTAAGAAGGCATAATCCAGTATGCTATCACTATGGCCAGATCTTATCTTAAATGGGGAGCATAGTGAGAAAAAAATTGTATAGTAAATTTGGGAAAGGGTGGGAGCATGTGGATCGATTAGGAAAAAACAGATTTCTGGCAATCTTGGAATGAACAATTATGTTAGTCCATTCTTGCACTGATATAAAGAACTACCAGAGAATGGGTAATTTACGAAGAAAACAGGTTTAATTGGCTCACAGTTCTGCAGGCTGTACAGGAAGCATGGCTGGGGAGGCCTCAGGAAACTTACAATCATGGCAGAAGGTGAAGAGAAAGGAGCCACATCTTACATGGCTGGAGCATGAGGAGGAGAGAGAGGGGAAGAGGTGCCACACACTTTTAAACAACCAGATTTTGGCCCAGCGCAGTGGCTCAAGCTTGTAATCCCAGCACGTTGGGAGGCTGAAGTGGGCAGATCACTTGAGGCAAGGAATTTAAAACCAGCCTGGGGAACATGGTGAAACCCCATCTCTACTAAAAAACATACAAAAAAAGTAGCTGGGGGTGATGGCGCCTGCCTGTAATCCCAGCTACTTGGGAGACTGAGGCAGGAGAATCACTTCAACCCGGGAGGCAGAGGTTGCAGTGAGCCGAGACTGTGCCACTGCACTCCAGCCTGGGCCACAGAGTGAGACTCAAAAATAAATAAATAAATGTCTCAATAAATAAATAAATAAATAAATAAATAAACAACCAGATCTCACGATAATTCACTTACTATCATGAGAATAGCAAGGGGAAAATCTGCCTGCATGATCCAATCACCTCCCACCAAGCCGCACCTCCAACATTAAGGATTACAATTCTACATGAGATTTGGGCAGGGACACAAATCCAAAGAATATCAATAATTTACTCAGAAAAAAATTACCTGTATGCATTCATTCAACAAGTATATTTTGATTAGCCATTACATCCCAAGTATTGTAAGTGCTGGAGATGGAGTAGTGAATAAAACGAGGCCTTGCCCACATGGAGTTTATGGTCTAGGGGCAAGGAGGCAAAACAAACAAATACGAAATAGGGGTGATGGGTACTCTTTTTGAAAATAAAGTGGGGGTTACATAATACCTTGGCAGGTATGATACTTTGTATAAGAAGGCCCAGGGAAGCCTTGCTGATAAGGTGGCATTTAAGCTGAGACCTGATGGAAGTTTGGGAGAAAGCCAAGCTGATCTCTGCAGAGCACGGGTGGCATCTTTGAGCAACAGCAAGATTTCCTGTGTGAAGTATAAAGGGGAGAGGGTGGTAAACGACGGGACCATGAGTGGACATGTCATGAAGAAGGCCAGATCATCCTGGCCATAAGTACTCTGGTTTTTACTCTGAGCACAGTAGGAAAATGTTAGAAGGTTCTGGGCAGAGGGGCAAAACAACTAAATTCTTAGCAAATCACTCTTACCACAGTGGGAAGAATAGACCCTATGGGGTGAGTCTGGATGTGAGGCAACAATTAGTAGGCTCTTGGAATACTCTAGGTGAGAAAATTTAGTAGTTTAGACAAAAGCAGAAATGACGAATATAGTCTAGATGTATTTAAGATGGTGCTGACAGGATTTGCTGATGGGAAAATTGTGAGTTGTGTGAGAGAGGAGTTACATTTTTTTTTATCAGTAAGTTTTTGGATTAAACAGCCGGATGGCTGGAGATACCATTTACTGAGATGAAGAGTCATGATTTCTGTGTGGGGTTGGGGAGAAGATGCAATAGCTCTGTTTTGGGATGCCTATCTGTAGCTAACAACATGCCATGTGTCTAAAGACTGGACGGTTATAAGACATGCTTTAAATCTATTCGCTTGTTTAAGCAATCATCTGAGATAGAGTAATAATATTGAGCCATTTTGATTGAGGAAACTAGGCAAAGAGAAGTCACATATCCCTTGCCCGATTACAAAGTTAGGATCTAAATCTAGGGAGCCTAGCTCCAGAATCTGCACTCTTATCTATCTAAATGGATATATCAGCAGGCAATTGGATACAGTCTTCAGTTCAGGGTAGAAGTCAGGTCTAGATAGAGATATGCAGTTGGGAATTATTAGCACATTGATGGTATTTGAAGCCACGGTACTGTTTGAGATCATGTAAGGAGAGAGCATGGATGGAAAAGACAATCAGTTCAGGGGCTAAGTCTTGGGGTATTTCATCATTTGGAGCTCAGAAATGAGAGAAGGCACCAGTAAAGAAAAAAAAAGTTGGCCCAGCATGGTGGCTCACATCTGTAATCCTAACACTTTGGGAGGCTGAGGAGGGAGGATTGCTTGAACCCAGGTGTTCGAGACCAGCCTGTGCAACATGATGAGACTTCATTTCTACAAAAAATAAAAAAAAAAAAATTTAGCTGAGTGTGGTGGAGTGTGCCTGTAGTCCCAACTACTTAAAAGGCTGAGCCAGGAGGATTGTTTGAGCCTGGGAGAGTGACGCTGCAGTGAGCTATGATCATGCTACTGTACTCCAGCCTGGACAACAGAGCAAGACCCTGTCTCAAAAAAAAAGAAAAAAGAGAGGACTTGCCTGTGGAGTAGGAGGTAAATCAAGACCATGTTGTGTGTGGGAAGCCAAACATAGAAACCAGGCTGGGCATGGTGGCTCATGCCTGTAATTCTAACACTTTGAGAGGCCAAGGTGGGAGAATCACTTCAACCCAGGAGTTTGAAAACAGCCTGGGCAACAAAGTGAGACCCAATCTCTAAGAAAAATTTTAAAAATATATGGGCAGGGTGGTGAATACCTACAATGCCAGCTACTCAGGAGGCTGAGGTGGGAGGATCCCTTGAGCCCAGGAGATTGAGACTGCAGTGAGCTGTGATCACACCACTGCACCCCAACCTGGGCGACAGAGTGAAACCCTGTCTCTAAATCAATCAGTCAGTCAACCAATCATAGAAATTGTTTCAAGAAGGAATGATCAGCTCTGTCAAATACTGCTGATAGCTTGAAAAAATGATGACTGAGAATTGACCAATAGATTTGACAATACAAAAGTCATTGGTGGCTAAGCATTTTCAAGGAATGACAGGGGCAGAAGCTTGAAGGAGTGTGTCAAGGAGGGATAGGAAGAGGGTAAATGGAGATCACCAGCTTGGACAACTTTTGAAGATTTTTTTCTAAATAAAAGGAAGCATAACTAAGTTCTCTTTTCTTCTTCCCTAGTGGCTCTCTGCTGACTCCTCCAGATTGTGACACTCCATTTTTACCAAACTTGTAACTCCCAGAAAAGTCATATCTGGGGGCCTTACAAATCTCAGTTGTCAGAAACACACCTGACCAACCGCCAATCATATGCCCATTCTCACCTCTGCCCTTTTCTGGTTCATGGGCCAGTTATCAACCTAGCATCTGGTCCTATTAACCCAGGTGTCTCCCTCAAACTCTACCTCTTAACAGCCTTCCCAAACTCCCAGACTGGGTCAGGCATCTATAATTATGGGATCCTGAACTTTGCTCTATGGTGCTTATCACAGTTCGTAATTATACACATTTTTGTATGATTGTTTTATTTATGTTTGTCTTTTCTACTATGCTGTGCTAAGAAACTGGGCTCTGGAATCAGATCGCCAAGGTTCAAATCTTGATCACACGGACTAGTTGGATGGGCAAGTAATTTAGTCACACTGAGACACAGTTTTCGTATCTGTTAAATTAAAGTAGTATTCACTTCATCCAATTTTTGTGAGGCTGATACTATGTAAAGGGTCTAAAGACTGGTGCCTAGCATTCAATTAACCTGAAAATCATTGTGAATATATTAAAGTAGAAAATACATATTTTAATATAGCCAAAATAACCTAGAGCTAATCTGTTTATTTCCACCTACTCTTCCCTCCTTCCACTGCCGCTCAGGCTCACTGTGTTATATATTAGGCACATATCTTTTTTTTTACCTCTATTATACCCAACTGCAAAAACCATTATCTTACTGAATTTAGCAACTAATAGAATTTTTTAATGGAAGTGGTCTAAAACATTATAAGAAATTCCACCATTACTTTTTCCCTACAGTACAGAAGCCCCTTTGTTGTTTTGGGGGAATACCTAACAAGTAAAAGGCACTGAGTGAGTTTTCCAATTATCTGTTTCTCCATAACAAACCACCTCTCCACCTAGTGTCTTAAACCAACCATTTGCTATGTTTTATTACGATCTGGTGGGTAAATTGGGCTCATGTGAGTAGTTCTTGCTTGTCTCTCTCATACTATTGCAGGGAAAGAGATCCTGGAGCTAAAGTCATCTGTAGGCTACACTGTGCTGGATGTCAAATGTGGATTCTTCACTCACATGTTTAGGTGGAATAGAGTGATGGAACAGCAGCTGAGGACTAGCTGGATCGATTTCTCTCTCTCTCTCTCTCTCTCTCTCTCTCTCTCTTTCTCCCTCCCTCCCTTTCTCTTTGTGTCTCCTCTCCATAGTCTTCTCCATGTGGTAGCTTGGCTCTTTAATAGTATGGAGATTTCAATGTGTTCACACTTCTTACATGATGGCTGGCTTTCCCAGAATGAGACCTAGGTGGAAACTTAGGTCTTACCTTGGCTCAGGAGTCACACAGTGTCACTTCTACTGCACTCTGTTAGTCAAAAGCAAGTCACACAGGACCAAGCCAGATTCAAGTGGCAGGGAATGCACAAAAGCATGCATTCTGAGAGGCATGGTTCATTGGAGGGCCATCTTTGAGGACTAATGACCAAAGTGAGCCTATACACATATACAGTAAAACCACAAAGACTCTGCCTTTAAGAAGCTTATAGTATTGTATAGGGCAGGGGTTTTTAACTTTTGCACTACTGACTCTTTTTATTAAATACATTTTATTTTTAGAGTAGTTTTAGATTTATAAAAACATTGCAAAGATAGTACAGTTCACATATACCCTACACCCAGTTTCCCCTATTATTAACATCTTACATTAATATGGTACATATATTACAATTAAAGAACCGATCAATTGACATTATTATTAACTACAGTCTATACTTTACTCATATTTCCTGAGTTTTAACCTAAAGTCCTTTTTCTGTTCAAGGGTCCCATACATTACGTTTAGTTTACATATCTCCTTAGACTCCTCTTGGCTATGATAATTTCTTACACTTTGTTTTTGATGGCCTTGACAGGTTTTTTTTTTTGTTTTTTTTTTTGAGACAGTCAGGCTGGAGTGCAGTGGTGGATCTCGGCTCACTGCAACCTCTAGCTCCTGGGTTCAAGCAATTCTCCTGCCTCAGCCTCCCGAGTAGCTGGGACTACAGGTGCGTGCCACCACACCCAGGTAATTTTTGTGTTTTTGGTAGAGACGGGGTTTCGGCATGTTGGCCAGGATGGTCTCGATCTCTTGACCTCGTGATCTGCCCACGAGGCTGAGGGGCCTCCCAAAATGCTGGGATTACAGCCATGAGCCACCGCATCTGGCCAGGTTTTGTTTTTTTTAGAGACAGAGTCTTGCTCTATCACCCAGGCTGTAGTGCAGTGGTGCGATCACAGCTTACTGCAGCCTCGACCTCCTGGCCTCAAGTGATTTTCCCATCTCAGCCTCCCAAATAAGCAGCAATGAGAGCAACCATGCCTCACTAAGTTTTATATTTTTTGTACAGACAGAGTTTTCCCATGTTGCCCAGGTCAGTCTTGAACTCCTGGGCTCAAGTGATCCTCCTGCCTCGGCCTCCCAAAGTGCTGAGATTACAGGCATGAACCACCACACCTGGCTCCTTGGCAGTTCTGAGAAGCCTGGTCAAATGTTTTATCAAACGCCCCTCTATTGGAATTTATCTGATGCTTTTCTCATGATTAGATTGGGGTTAGAGCACACACATTATCAACATGACTTACCATTGTTGATGTACCTTCTCACTACCTGGCTGAGGTAGTGTTTGCCAGGTTTCCTCTGTAAAGTTACTCCCCCATGAAACCCCCATGAAACTCCCCTCCCACCTTCTACTGTGGAAGTCAGTAATCAGCCCACACTTTAGGAGTGGAGAATTATACTCCCTCTCATTAAGAGAGGTTATTTATATAAATCATTTGGAATTATTTGGCAAGGAAGATTTGTTTCTTCTCCTCTGATTATTTTTCAATAATTTACTTACATTAATATAGACTCATGGTATTTATATTATACTTTGAGTTATAACCCAATACTACTTTGTTTATTTTGTTGTTTAACTAGTTCTAGTTTTAGACATCGAGAGCTCTTTCTGATGGTTCCTGTGTCCCTTTGACATACCCCTAACAATGTGGGTTTTGTTTTGTTTTCTGAGCACTTCCTATTTCCTAGCACTGCAAGATACTCCAGGCCCACTTTGTATATTTTCAGCCCCAGTCCTAGAGTCAGCCTTTCGTCTAAGGACCCCCAAGTTCCTTTTATTAGAAGCCAAAATTTGTAGGGTGTATAACAGTATCCTTGGCCTCTGCTTATTGCATGCCAGTAGCAACCTTTCTCCTGTAGTCATGAAAATCAATGATGTTTCCAGACATTGTTAAGTGTCTCCTGGAAGGCAAAATGGCCCCAAGTTGAGAACCACTGCTATAGAGATAGACCTGCTGAAAATTACATTAAGATAATATGATGGAGGCCAGTGGGAGCATTCCAGAAGAAGCTTCTGAACCTGTCAGCAGATATTGCTGCAGAGGAGGTTTGCCAGAGGAGGTGCCATTTGAACTGAGAATTGATTTGCAATTCTCAGTTTTATTGAGCAATTATCACAAGCCAGACATAAGGTAATGTTTTACTTTAATTATTTCTTATAATTCCAACCTTAAAAAGCAGATATTATTGTCAGTTTACAGCTGAAGAAACTAAGGTTCAAAGGGACAAAGTAACTTGCTTAGGGTGCTTGAGCTGGTCTTGAAAGTTCCAGCTGTGCATGTGGATGGAAAGTTACAAGGGTGCTGACATGTGCCCACACTGCTTGAGTCAAGACTATCTCAACTACTTTCTTTGTTTACAAACCTGCAATACCACTTCATTTTAAATTTATTTTTTTCCCATTGAATTCTGGGTTCTCGAGAGCAGGAATCTTGCAGTGTTCATCTTATGTCTGCTTTCTAGCACAATGTTTGCAGTGATAGGTGTTCAATAAATGTTCAACAAGTGAATTAATATTAATCTATGTCATCAAATTCACCACTTACAGCTTATGGAATTAATTCAAGTTCCTTCCGGTCAGATCACTATCCTGGCAGCACCTCTGGTAGAGGACTCATTGCTAGACACACCAACCAACCTCCAGGAGTCTTTTAGTCACTCTGTCTCATTGTTTTACTCTCAGCATCCCGTAAGGCTAGTAGGCTGGTATTATGACTTCCTCAAATGATTATGGTATGTGATCATAATATGTTGCCATGGGTTAGAGCTACAAAACAGGAGTTCTCTAAGGAAGGGAAAAATATGCTACATCTCTAATATTAAAATGTCAGAATGTATTGTTACTAATTTTCACATGTAACCCCAATTTTATATATATATATGTATATATGTGTGTATATATATATTCTTCTGAAAATCCCTTTATCTTGATTGTTGTAGCATTTTAAGATGAAATTTTATGCAGATCATGAAAGAGTTTTTTTTCCTTTCTTTAAATTCCTTCCCATTCTCATCGTAATTTCCTTTTATTTAATTTATTTATTAATTTTTGGTTGTGAGGATGGAATCTTTCTCCTTGTTTATTAAACAAAACAAGGGGAGAAATGTCCTTTTTTTGTTGCTTTTCTTTATTCTACAACTTTTGGATCTGCTATTTGCAGTTGCTCTGAAATTTTGTCCATTGAATTAGAAGTTGCTCTCTGGTTTCAAGACTCTTTCTTCCTTTCCTTTGCTAAAATTTGGTCTAATTAAAAAAACAGTAGATCATAGTTAAATAAAACTGTACCCAGGATAACCCTAATTTCCATATGCAGATTTATCTGCACTGACAGCCACCCCCCTTACACACACACACTCTCTCTTTCTCATTCTCCTTTCCCTCCTCTCCATCTCCCTATTGCATTGTGTCTGACTGATTTTCAGAGCACCTTCGCTGTTTCCCCCTTCTCGTTCCCTTCTCATAAAATATCTAGACAGGAAGGAGGTGGCTGCAGAGGCTGAACAATCTCATATTCTGCCTGCAATGTCATCGTTTCTTTCCCCCATTTTAGGGGGCTGAAGTTGCCCAGCAAGGGATGCAGAGGAGCTGGAAAAGAAGGGGGGAGCTCTCCAGAGGCAGCTGCGGTCAGGGGCAGGGACTGCCGCCAGATGTGCCTGCCTTTCTGGGCTTTGATGAGAAAGGGGCAGCAGGAGGAAATATTGGGAGACAAAAGCCCCGGTTTAAATGATCATTTTCTTTATTTAACATGGCAGCAGACACTCTCTGCGTAGGATCATCATGCCGAGCATAAACTGGACTTTCCCACTTGCCTGGCAGGAGTCACACAGATCCCTGCGTGCTAAATGAACATCTGAGGTAAGACCCACTGTTTCAGATACTTGCTTTTTTCCTAATCGATTAATTTTCTTAAATATATGTTTCAGCCTCAACCACAAACAGCATAGTGGGGGCAAATCTGTGTTAATGTGTATCTAAAAAGCCAAGAAAAACCAGAGGCATAATAGATTCAAGTCAATTTGGGGAGGTTAGTTACTTTGTCAATTCTATGTATGCTGTTTGTTTTGTAGGAAAAATATTTGGTTTAAGAATAGACTAGTGTCATCCTAATCCACCACTGGTGATAATACTGATGTTCAGACTCTTAAAAAAACTTTGTAAAAAGACAGTGAGCTACAGATGCATGTGCTGTATTTTTAGCTCACATACAAATATTAGAACTCTTATTAAAATGATAGGGTTTTTTTTTTAGCAGAGAAGGATGAATGCTGCATAATTAAGTACAGTATTTAATTTGGCTGTTGTGAAGCAAAAGAATAAGGTAATAATTTTTATTGTACTAATCAGTCTCAAGATGTTCTCTGTGTTAATTGGGTTAAAAAAATTGCAGTACTTATTAGAAATTCTAATTTCACAATGCAGCACTGACAATAAGCTCAGCCAGTGAATTATTCACATCTTTAATTTGCTCACTTAATGACAGTGTTCTGTAATCAGAGTGCAGAGACTGCTGCCTATGCATTATGTATGATGCTCAGGACTTAAATGCAGGACATTATGAAGCTCTCAGTGGTTCAGTAATTAGTTTTCCACAAGACAGGATTTAGATATTCAGAGATAAAAGTCCACAGTTGGATAATATTAAGGTTGCAACACAAAATAACAAAGGAAAGGAAGCTCAAAGTTTGGACTGAAACTTTGTCTCTAGGGCCTTGTCCACCGTGGAAACAGAATCATGCCACCTGAAATAGTTGCCTAGCTCTGATCACATGTTTGAAAACTGTTTTTGAACAAAGTTGTAGCAGGCAAGGCATTTGAACAATTTCAGTGGACCAGAGGGGAAAGATAAAACCTTTTTAATTAGTGTTCACAGAAGCCCTGCAATATATCCTCCTAACAAGTCTGTAGTATGCATAGCAGGCATCCTCAATGTGCTTTGTAACTTAGTTAGTGCAAATGCAAATCAGGTTACAATAGTGTTTGGCTGTAATTGTGTTTGTAAAAGGGTTACATGCCCAAATGGAGATTGAGCTTGCTCATGGTTTTGTTCCAATTGCTTCTGAGGGAAGGTTTGAAAATCAAATGAGATATTAAGTAAATCTGGGCATGAAAGGAAGTAGATCCGAATTGTCACTGCAACTTTGGAATTTCTTACACTTGTCAGTTTGGAGTTGTCAGTTTTTCTTTAACGATGCTACGGTTGTTCTGTCATAATTATGTAACTTTAATGGATTACCCAGCCCATTAGCAATACTTTAAAAATGTATACTAGGTTTCAGAAAACATGTCACAGTATCATTTCTAAAGTTTAATAAGTAACTTGAAATCTTTAAGTGATTTTTTTAAAAGAAGAACATGCTGTTATGGTAGACTATATGGGGTATTTTTGAGAGCTTAAATATTAATATTTACTAATAAAATCTCACTGCTTTATCATTTATCAG
Organism: Homo sapiens; assembly: GCF_000001405.40. NCBI lineage: Eukaryota > Metazoa > Chordata > Mammalia > Primates > Hominidae > Homo > Homo sapiens. The sequence continues at coordinate 97,307,683 of NC_000006.12, forward strand.
TCTAAGATTTGTGCTCATTTTCAAAATCCAGGAATTAGAATCCTTAGTAAAAATTGGTATCCAACATTGGAATACACAGCAATACTTTGTAAAAACTGCCTTTTATAGGTTACAGCATTATCTACAAGAAAGTTGAGTTGAGAAGCCTTATAAACAAATGTAATGTTTAGTAAATAATGAAGGGTCAAATTTCTAAAAGTTACATCTTACCATACATTTGAAAAATTCAAAATTAAAAAATGTAAGTCACATCTCCAAATTTGACTTCTAATTTCTAAAACTAAAAAGTTACTTCAAAAAATAAAAAAACTTTTTCATAAATGTTTAGGAAGCTATTGCCTGTGTGATACTTAGAACATACTTTTTGGAAACGATGCTTGATTGGAGCAGAATTAGGATACTAGGCAGCTGAGCAGGTGACCTGGCTTTGACTTGGGTTTGGATACAGGTTAGCATCCATGTATGGATAACATGTGGCAGTCTAATCAGATGGTGGCAGTGGTGCTGGTGGTAGCTGAACAGAGTTTTAAAAATAAATAAATAAATAAAAAGAAATAGAGAAATGGTTGAGAATTAGGAAACTTGAGTTCTATTCTCACTTTTGCCACAAAACAGCCATAAAGTTGTTACAGGGATAAATGAGGTAGGAGCAAAAGTTTTTTTGAAGATTATAAAGCACTAGATAAAAACAAGGGAGCTATTTAACATAAAGTTAAATGTATTTCTTTGAACCTGTGTTGTTCATTATGGCAGGGATTGCCATCCAGATTTGCAACACTCTATAATGCTAAAATGTCAAAATATTCTCAAGCAAATCAATTTAAATTTAATTAAATGAAAAATAAGCCATGAGGGGAAAAAAAGTATTCTTCTTAGGTATTTTGGGGAGAATAAGAGCATTTTGAAGTCTCATAAATGTCAATTTGGTGTTACCACTCCAAAAAGGTTAGCAATCATCATGCTTTAGAGAGTTCTTCTACCCATAACTTAAGAGACACTTGCATATTAATATTCTAAGAAGTCTTATGCATGAAATGTCTGCTAATTACTAAGATTTTAGCCATCTTTTTCATTATAGATTGTATGAGTCAGATTGAAATCATTTATACGACTAGAATTTTGGAGCTCTTTTCCTCACTAAAAGTCAATTTATATATCAATCAATCAATAATTGACTATCGGCTGGGTGTGATGGCTCACACTGTAATCCCAGCACTTTGGGAGGCTGACATGCAAATGGAAAGCAAGCTGGTCAGATGTGTGTTTCACTTGAGGTCAGGAGTTCGAGACCAACCTGGCCAAAGTGGTGAAACCCCAACTCTACTAAAAATACGAAAATTAGCCAGACCTGGTGGTGTGGACCTGTAGTCTCAGTCATTCGGGAGGCTGAGGCAGGAGAATCGCTTGAACCTGGGAAGTGGAGGCTGCAGTGAGCCTATTGTGCCACTGTACTCTAGTCTAGGCAACAGAGCAAGACTCCGTCTCAAAAAAATTTTTTTAAAATAGACTATCGATTAATGATTTTTTTCAACACCTACTGAGCACTTATAATGCTAAGAAAAATAAGGTGATAACTTCCTCTCATTCTTGAGAGGCAGTATCCCCATATTCCAGGTGAGAAATTGAAGCCTAAAGAAGTTAAGTAGGCTGAGCGTGGTGGCTCACGCCTGTAATCCCAGCACTTTGGGAGGCCGAGGCGGGCAGATCACGAGGTCAGGAGATCAAGACCATCCTGGTTAACACAGGGAAACCCCGTCTCTACTAAAAAGACAAAAAAAATTAGCCAGGTGTGGTGGTGGGCGCCTGTAGTCCCAGCTACTCAGGAGGCTGAGGCAGGAGAATGGCGTGAACCTGGGAGGTGGAGCTTGCAGTGAGCCGAGATTGTGCCACTGCACTCCAGCCTGGGCGACAGAGCAAGACTCCGTCTCAAAAAAAGAAAAAAAAAAGAAGTTAAGTAACTTGACAGCACAACAGAGCTGGTGAGTGGAAGTTGGAATTGAACCAGCTTTAGGTCCTCAATTTTCAACAAATAGACCATATTTTCAGTTTCCAAGGCCTTCTGCTAAGGCTGAAAGAAGGTAGATTGAAAGAGGTTCTTGTCCTCAAACTACTCACAGTGGTAATACTTGAATTTCTTCTACCTGGCTCAGTTGTTGGTCAAGACTCTTGCTCCTCTTGGTGCAGTCCAGAGACCAGCAGCATTGGCATCATCCAGAACTAGGCTTGGATGCTTCTCAAACATTAATGTGGACTTCGAATCACCTGGGATGTCTTTACAATGCAGACTCTTATTCAGTAGGTTTGAGATGGGGCCCAAGATGCTTTTCTGACAAGTTTCCTGGTGATGCAATGTTGCTGTTGGGGAAACCTCCATTTGGTGAGTTCTACAATTTGTCTTGTTTTTCAGTGTGTCTAAGGTAGGCCCAGTATACCTTACTGGGTTCCTTACTGAGTCGTAGCTTTCCTCCAATTCTGATGTTCTCTTGATTCAAATAGAAGAGCTTTCACCTTGGCTTCTTGGCTATGGCCCTCTGCTGCCCTGGGTCCCAACCTACATAGCTATGGCCCTGCCTGCCTGCTTATCTCTAGCTTAGACTTTCGAGTCCACACTCCCAGTTACCAGTGATGTTCTAACATCAGCCTGGTTGAGGATCTTCATTCCCTCCTCTTCATCAAAACCAACTGTGAAGCCCATTAAAAACCTGTAAGCCTTCTAGGTCTACAACCATAGATTTTAATTCTGGGGCTAGTCTTTGGAATTTTATTTTCATTTACAAAGTTTTATAGTTGATTCTGATGGGTGTCACATACTGAGAACAACTTCCCTAGGGGCCCCTGCTATGCTCTGACCTGATGGGAACCTCTTGGAAAGTAATATTGGCATGGCTTGGGTTCAAGTTTGCAATACACTGAGAACTTTTTCTCTATGCCTCTGTGTTAGCAATGAGAGCACAGCATGGAGAGAACTTAAAACTTTACTGAACTAGTTTCAGAAGGCTTTGCTGAGTGATTGGCATTTGAATTGGATAGCCATTGAATGAAGAGGTCCTTTGTTCAGGCCAAAGGAGTGGTATATGCAATGATAGTTAAAAGTGAGAAGTGCCTTAAGTAAACATCCATTTGGACAAAAGTGTTTGTTTAACACATGGAAAGGAGAAGTAGGAGATAAAATTATAAAGGTAGGTAAAAGCCTCACTTTTAGAACTTCATGTGTTACACCAAACAGTATGTGCTTTATTCTACATATTGTGAGGATTATCAGAGATTAAGATGGAAAGCAAGCTGATCAGATGTGTGTCTCAGAAAGATAACCTTGGCATTGAGGAAGATGAATTCAGTGAGGCAAGACTGAAGACAAAGAGACCAGTTAGGTACGTGTGGTAATAGAGTGTGAGAGATGAAGAGGGATCCTTTCCTTGTGCCATATGCCTGGGCCCTGAACCTAAGTTCCTCTGTCTCAGACACTGATGATGCTTTTTTTTTTTTACAGTTACATTTCATAGCAATAGCCTGCTAAGCCTCTTAGACTTTATAAATGGCATGGCCTTGAGCATTCAGGTAACTCAAAGCTTTTATGAGCCATCAGTGGTTCTTACTTCTCCTGATTATTTTATTTTATAGTGCTGAGACAGCTAGCTCTAGGGTTCTTCCCTCAGGAGATACTTAGAGTTTTTAAGGTAATTATTTGGTAGAAAATCTTCTACTAATGGCCTAAGATAAATTTGAAACCAGTTAATGAGCAGCTATATGAATCCAATGGTTGGGAGAGTTGTGTCTAGGCCTGTTGAATGCACTGCTTTGCTCTACCTTTGGAGAAAGACTTTGCGTTATCCTTGACCTAGCTTGATTTTTTTAGGTACTGCCTCTGGATTTGTTCCTTTTAGAGCGACAGCTCCAGTCAGTTGCCTTTTAAAAGTAAGCGTAGATGTGGCTGGGCGCGGCAGCTCACGCCTGTAATCCCAGCACTTTGGGAGGTGTTGGTGGGTGGATCACCTGAGGTCAGGGGTTTGAGACCAGCCTGGCCAACATGGAGAAACCCCGTCTCTACTAAAAATACAAAAATTAGCCAGGCATGGTGGCGGGTGCCTGTAATCCCAGCTACTCGGGAGGCTGAGGCAGGAGAATTGCTTGAACCTGGGAGGGGAGGTTGCAGTGACTGAGATTGCACCATTGCACTCCAGCCTGGGCGACAGGGTAAGACTCTGTCTCAAAAAAAAAAAAAAAAAGAAAAGAAAAAATAAGAAAAGTAAGCATAGATGTATTGCTTCACCAGCCTTCATTTACTCACCTCTACGTGGAAAGCTCACTAAATTCTAACAACTACATATATTGTATCATAGAATATATTTTGGGGACAATAATACTCTCAGATATGCCTAGGCATTTCAACAAGTTTTTGACCCAGCCTAGTTTGTTCTTATTTCCATTTCTGTTCTGTACTTCCTTGTTATTAGCTCAACTCTGTCTTCCTTTGTGGGGTAAACTGAGTGTCCCCCTCCCATGAAGATTTCCACTTCATAACTCTCAGAGCCTGTGAATATGTTACTTATACAGTAATCCTCTCTTATCTGAAGTTTTACTTTCCACACTTTCAGTTATCCATGGTAAATCACAGTCTGAAAATATTAAATGAAAAACTCCAGAAATAAATAATTTGTAAGTTTAAATGCTGTTCTGATTAGTGTGATGAAATCTGTCACCATACCACACTGTCCTACTCTGTTCCACCTGGGTGTGAATCATCCATTTGTCCAGTGAACCCATGTTGTAGACACTACAGGCCCATTAGTCACTTAGTAGCTGTCTCCATTATCAGATCTACTGTCGAGGTATTGCAGTGCTTGTGGTAAAGTAACCCTTATTTTACTTAATGATGTCCCCAACATGCAATAGTACTGATGCTAGCATGTTGTTAAAATTATTCTGTTTTATCATTAGTTATTGTTGTTAATCTCTTACTCTGCCTGATGTATAAATGACATTTTATTATAGGTATGTATGTATAGGAAAAAACAGAGTATATATAGGGTTCATTATTATCCTTGGTTTCAGACATTCACTGGGGGTCTTATCTCCCTTGAGAATAAGAGGGGGAATACTCTATGGCAAAAGGGACTTAAGAGATATAATTAAGAATTTTGAAATGGGAAATTATTCTGGATTTTCTGGGTGGGACTTATGTAATCACAACAGTCTTTTTAAAAGGTAGGCAGGAAAGAGTCAGAGAAAGGAGGTGCTACTGTGCTGGATTTGAAGACAGAGGGAGGGACTATGAGCTAAGGAAAGCAGGCATCCTTTAGAAACTGCAGAAGAATGGAAACAAATTTTACCATGCAGCCTCCAGAAGGAACCAAACCTGCCAGTATTTGACTTCTTATATCCAGAACTGTAAGACAGTAGATTTGTATTATTTTAAGCCACAAAGTTTGTGGCAATTTGTTACCCCAGTAATAGAGTATTAATATAGCATATGGTGTACCTTTAACTGATTTGTTTCTTTGCTGTTTGTCCTACTGATAACATTTTTATTGGTTCATCGTTGTTCTTTCTTGACTACTTCTCTTTTATTGAGTCAGCACCCTTACTTTTTCTGAGCATCCATTTCCTCACTTAATGACAATAGTGTTTTCTAGGAGATGAATGACTGCTGGCGTCTGAGGTGAATGAGGTAAGGCCAGCAAAGCACGCCACAGTGTCTGCTGTACAGCAGGTGTGTAATGAATGCAGCTCCTGTCACTTCGTGGGCTTTTGCCAACCTGATCATTGGGGTTTTACTCACAATCTTGGAGACATTTAGAAGCTGTTTTGCATATTGGCAACTTACAGGATAGAAAAGTTTCATTTAGAATTTAGATTAGTAAGTGCTTAGTGCTAATAGCATTTCTAGATTAATTTCATTTTCTTCAATCCATTTCAAATCTCATTTAAAATATATTTTAATTTTGAATTCTTGACTTTTGTGGTAAAATACATCTCATTTGTGGCCATGTCTACACTTTAAATACTGAACTAGCTAAAGCTAAGCAGAGCAGAATTCCTCCCCCCTACCCCCCCAACACACTACAGTCCACAGTACAATTAGTGTCCTACATAGATAGAAGCCTTAAGGGTTAAGTGAGAATGCAGGTGAAAGTACTTTGTGAAGTCTTTTGCTGTACAATGTAATTTGTTGGTACATTGTTGCATTTTTAAGGTTATGAGCTCCTTGAGAATAACACTGTGTATTATTTCCTTGAATCCCCAAGGCCTTACAAGATTTATTAAATAAATTACTAAATAAGTTAGAAAATTAGAGTGGGGAAAGGAAATGAAGAAGTGTTAGAAATAAAGAACTGGATTTGGTAGTTCTTTGAGTAGGATCACTCACTAGTTGTCTTGGAAATGGCTCCTGATCCCTGTATTTGCGCTCTCACCCCCTAACCTATACACTGCTGGTGTGTAAATGCTAAACCCTCCCTCACATAACTTGTCTCAGTAACTCAGACTGCCCAACTAGGGTGGGCATGTAAAGCAACCCACTCCCTAAATGAGTTTCCTATTGTTGCCATACGCAATAACCATAAATGTGGTGGATTAAAATGACACACATTTGTTATCTTACAGTTCTATAGTAAGAAGTCTGGTCCAGAGTCTTAGCTCTCACCAGGCTAAAACCAAGGTGTCAGTAGGCTGTGTTTCTGTCTAGAAGTTCTAGGGGAGAACCTGCCTTGCTCATTTGAGTTGCTGGCAGAATTCAGTTCCTGGTGGTGGTGGGGCTGAGACCCCACTTTCTTGCTTACTGTTTGAGGGATATTTCCAGCTTCTTAAGGTCATCCACATTCCTTGGCTCATAGACCTGTTCCTCCATCTTCAAACCCCACAATGGCAAGTCCAGTTGCTCCCTCACTTCAGATTTCTCCTCCTCCTTCTTCCATATGATCTTTCTGGCCCATTCTTTTGCCTCTCTCTTTCAATTTCAAAAACTTATGATTACTTTGGATCCACATGGATAATCCAGAATAATCTCCCCAGCTAAAGATCCTTAACCTAATCATACCTGCAAAGTCCCTTTTGCCTTTAAGGTAAAATATTCATAGTTTCCACGGATGAGGAGGTAGAACTCTTTAGGGTGTCATTATTCTGTTTATCATAGACCCTAATTTATAACATTTACCTATATTTTAATTATTCCACATTTAGTTTTCTGATTTGTGTAGTAGCATTTTTTTTTTTTTCTTTTTGGAGACAGAGTCCTGCTCTGTCTCCCAGGATGGAGTGCAGTGGTGTGATTTCAGCTCACTGCAACGTCCACCTCCTGGGCTCAAGTGATTCTTGTGCCTCAGCCACCTGAATAGCTGGGATTACAGGCATGTGCCACCACACCTGGCTAACTTTTGTATTTTTAGTAGAGACAGGGTTTCACCATGTCGGCCAGGCTGGTCTCAAACTTCTGGCTTCAAGTGATCCACCCACCTTGGCCTCCCAAAGTGCTGGTACTACAGGAGTGAGCCACCACGCCCTGCCTTGATTTGTGTAATAGTATTTTTAGTTTCTCTCTAAACCTCAGTTATCCATTCTCGGAATTCTATCGGGCATCTGGTTCAACTCTGTTGTCAGCTTCGTTTTTCTGCAATATAAAGTCATTTTTACCCCAGTTTGTTTCAATCCAGTTAGATTCAATTCAATTCAACAACACTTTATTGTCTGCTGAAAACATTCCTAGTATGATAAGGTAAGGTAAGGTATAGAGTTTGTAATCTGCTTGTAGAGATAAGACATATTCACAGGAGATAGAGAAAAATGCAAGACAGAATACAGTCACCTGCCATGTGTATATTACAGACAAGGGAGCTGGAAGGGGAAGATGAACATGCATTGGTGGGATTAAGTAAACAAAGTTGTGATTATGCCTGGCTGAAGTCACTTATATGCTGTGATTTAAGGGACAATGGGAAGGGCTTTCTGCTTGAAACTATCTCCCTACATAGCCTGAAATTTGTTGCATCACTTTGTCACTATTAGATCACATCCATTTAGTTTAACAAACATTCTGTTTTATCAAGGCATCCTGCAGAACTCTTGCTCTCTGTTTAAATATATATATATATACTATTTTTTTTTGTTTGTTTGTTTGTTTGTTTTTTTCTAGACGGAGTCTCGCTCTGTCACTCCAGGCTGGAGTGCAGTGGTGCGATCTCGGCTCACTGCAATCTCCGCCTCCCGGGTTCATGGCATTCTCCTGCCTCAGCCTCCCAAGAAGCTGGGACTACAGGTGCCCGCCACCACGCCCGGCTAATTTTTTTTTGTATTTTTAGTAGAGAAGGGGTTTCACCGTGTTAGCCAGGATGGTCTTGATCTCCCGACCTTGTGATCTGCCCACCTTGGCCTCCCAACGTGCTGGGATTATAGGCGTGAGCCACCACGCCAGGCCAAATATATTCATAATTTTTAATCGAACCACTGTATACTAATCCCTGTACTTTAGTTTGAGTCAACTTTCTGTAGATCTTTTTTTTTTTTTTTTTTGAGACAGAGTCTTGCTCTGTTGCACAGTCTGGAGTACAGTGGTATGATCTTGGCTCACTGCAACCTCCGCCTCCTGGGTTCAAGCAATTCTCCTGCCTCTGCCTCCCGAGTAGCTGAGACTACAGGCACCTGCCACCACACCTGGCTAATTTTTGTATTTTTAGTAGAGACGGGGTTTCACCATGTTGGTCAGGCTGGTCTCAAACTCCTGACCCTCATGATCTGCCTGCCTTGGCCTCCCAAAGTGCTGGGATTACAGGCGTGAGCCACCACGCCTGGCCACTTTCTGTAGGTCTTTAAAGAATATTCCCCTTCCAAATTTGTTGTCCTAATAACTTGATAGGGTTTCTAGCAGCAGACATTTCGAGACCTCAGTAATACATAAGTAAGTCAGGACCAAATGAGAAAAAGCCTTGGAAAACTGATCTAGGCCAGGACACCTTTTATTCTCTGATGATGCCCCTAAGAGAAATTAACATGGCAGTAGTGCTGACTCCCACGGAGTGTGGCCGGGAGTCCATATTCCAGTGTTCAAGGGCAAGTAGTTCAAGTCTGAAGCAAACTACTATTAACATCATAGAAGTTCTTAAAATGTGAAGTAGTGACCTAGCTATAGAAGTATTTGGACAAGAGCAGATAATTATAGTCAGGTAGAGGTAGCTTGTTTTCAAAATAGTAAATCCAGTACCTTAGCTAGTGTCTGAGGATACAGATCTAAGTTCCAGCTCCATTAGGGAGAGGTGGCTGACAAGAGGTAGGTAAATTCGGATTCCAAGCAAATGGCCTAGAGTTCAGAAAGGAGGCTTGAACATAAAGTGGGCACCATGGCTGAAGCCCAGAATAGAGTGGGACAAAGGGTCAAGCTTGGAGCTTGGAGCACTAGTGTCATGGGAGACATGGGCTTTGGATGACAGGACAAATTTCAGACCACTGGGATCATGACTCTAATATCCAATGAGGCCTCATTCTCTTTGGCTCTGGCAGAACATGACTCACTGACTATTGTTCTGTAACCTGTAATGGCACAGCCCATTGTAGGCTCCACTTGTCAGCCTTAGAGGAATAGGAAGAGCACAGTCAGTTACCATTAGGGGTTTTATGGTAAAAATACCATCACAGGCATTTGTCCCACCTATGTTGTAGTTTGTCTAATGCCATATGACTCCAATCATGATTGAATTAACAAGTTATTCCTATTAAAGTGTTATTCTAAATCTAGACCTTGGTCATTAAATTATTTGTTCATTTTATTCATTTTCTAAGCCAAAAATTTAGGTTGTATTTTAGCTGAATAGAAGAAATAAATTCTAATAATTCAAGTTCTCTGAAGATGAAATGAGAGGCCATAGGCTCCCTGAAACTGGAAGGATCAAAACATACATTGGATGACCATTTGGCAGATGAGATGCTGAGGGATTAAGCAGGTGACATTTAAGGTCCCTCCTAATCTTAAAACCCCATCTAAGCCAGGATAATACAAACATGCCTAGAGTTCACAGACATTAGTTTTATTTGCTGAACACCTGGCTTCTTTCAAATTTTAGAAAAACACTTATTAATTAGAAAAGAGATATTAAAATGGAATAATTTTCATTAAGCATACTTGGCCATTTTTAATTACTTTCTTCAACTTAAAATCCCCTTAATACACTGATTACTTATTAGATAAACCAATAATCTTCTATGATTTGCAGTAAAATGGAAATTTATGCATAAATATTTAAATGTTACAGATAGTCATATACAGTGAGGATCCTCCTTTTTTTAAGCATAAAATTCATACTGGTATATTTTATTACAAAGTTGTTTGTTTTAATCCTGAAATAAAACCAAAGTTTGTCTCCTAGTTGCACTGAATTTCAATGGCCTTTTAAGTTGCAATTAAGCTCAGAGTTCTTTTAGAAGAAGAGCCTATCTGTACTTAAGATGTAAGTTGCCCTAGGTAAGGCTTTCAATCCCTGCTGTGCCTGGCAGTCTGTGAAGAAAAAGTCTAAAAGAATGGTGTGTGATTTTGGAATTGATGTCTATATCTAGGAATAGGGTCCACTGAGAAAGGCCTTTTCTAAACTTTTGCTTTGGTGCTTCCAGTTCAAGTCTGGAATTAACAAATTTTTGTGCTTCAGAGATCATTAGTGATGGCTCTTGCCTCACTGAGTCACAGTGAGTTTGAGTGGCTTATCTATTCATCTGTTGTACCTAAGAGTTCTCTAAGCTCTGTTACTTCCAATTTGACAGTGACACATAATCTCAATTATGGGATTCAGTGACACGGACAAGATCACACTTTCAGTAGATCGGAGTCATGTTACCTCCTCTTGTGATGCTGGGCTACAGCCTTCACAGTACTTCTTTCCATTTTTATTTCTCTAATGACTACAAGGTGACTAAATTGAACCTTATTTGTCTGATGGTAGGTAAAATAAGGTTACAATCTAGACCATTAAATGTAATTCTCATTTATTGAAAAATAATGTTTGTAAGATTTGTAATTACTTAAAGATACTTTTTTCCTAAGGTATTTACTAAACCTTATCGTGTGTAGTATACATTTTATAAATAATATAGATGTCAATCATATGTATTAAGATATCAGATATTTACAGGTTTCAGGATACTTAGCATTTTATAAATAAATTACTGCTTATACAGTAATAGTTCACTTGTTGCCTTGTGATTGTTAGTCTTAATGAATATTGTTATATGTAGTTGGAACAATCAGGAGCAGAAACTTGATCATGATTCAGGCTGAAAGTTATTCTCAGAATTTTAATTTCATAATGTCGTACATTATAAATAACTGACTTGATATCTCTTGATCTCTATGTGCCGATTTTAAAAAAGTATTCTTAATTACCTGCCTAAAGCTAGAGGTAGGCAGGAATTTTGATTGCAGCATTCTTATATCTTGTTTCTAAGAAGTTGCTTGTCCAAAGAAATAGCACCTTCCTTGCACCTTCCTTTTTCCCTCCCCCTCTCTCTTTCTTTCTTTTTCCCCTCTGAGCTCAGATGTGATACTCCCACAATTTCTCTGTTGTCATCACAAGAACTCTCTAGCATAGGGAAGATGTATCCAAGCCACTTTCCCTTGACCTTCATGACTGTACCTAGACTCACTGCTGGGCTCTTTACCATATGCCATCCCTTTTATTTTTATTTATTTATTCATTTACTTATTTTTTGAGATGGAGTCTCACACTGTCACCTGGGCTAGAGTACAGTGGCATGATCTCGGCTCACTGCAACCTCTGCCTCCCGGGTTCAAGCGATTCTCCTGCCTCAGCCTCCTGAATAGCTGGGACTACAGGCGCGCGCCACCATGCCTGGCTAATTTTTGTATTTTTAGTAGAGACGAGGTTTCACCATTTTGACCAGGATGGTCTCGAACTCCTGACCTCGTGATCTGCCCACCTCGGCCTCCTGAAGTGCTGGGATTACAGGCATGAGCCACCGCACCTGGCCGCCATCCTTTTTATTCTTACGACATTCCTGAGACCTAAGCATTGCATTAGGATTGTTGTTCTGTAAATGAGGGAACTGAGGTTTTGAGAGGTTTATTGTGTCCAAAACTCATTCAAGATATCCTTTCTACCACACCCAGCTTCTTAATTATATTTATTTGTTGGTGGGGGGGAGACAAAGAGAATAAAAATAAGATAAAAAATGGCATTTCACATCTGTAGACCACTTTAGAAATTTTTCTTTGTCTCCTAGCCCATTATGTTTTATATGTATATTACAGTGATCTCTAGAGAACTAATGTGTTAATGATAATAGTAATATTTGTTAAAAACTTGCTATATGGCAGGCACTGTGCTAAGTGTTTCACATACATTATTTCATTTCATCCTCACAGCAATCCTATGAAGTAGAAATTATCCTCATTTTTAAGATGAAAAAATGAAACTTGGAGAGACTAAATAGTTTGCCCAAGGTTACTGCTGTTTAAACCAGAGCAATCTGCAAATTTCTATCCCCTAACCACTCCTCTCTGCTGCTTGCACTGTACCTAAGGCTCTTCTTGTTTTGCTACAACATTTCTTCTCTTTAGGAAGGGTTGCAGGGGAATGACTTCTGCACTACCACTATGCTATTAGGAGCCACTGCTACTGACCAATGCCCTCAAATTTTAATGTGCATGGAAATTATCTGTTGTTTTCTAAGGCAAATTGTCCTAGACATTTCTGAAATTTTCATATTACAGTAAGTATAAAATTTAAATGAATTAGAGTTGCTTAGTGGATAAAACGCTACAACTTGATATTGTCAATAAATATCTAAAGTAAATAATCATTTCTCAACTTATTTTTTATATAAAATCAGATTTTGTAAAGTCAATTGCTTTAAAAATTTTCTTTCTTTTTTTTTTTTTTTTCGGGATGGAGTCTTGCACTGTCTCCCTGGTGCTGCATGGTGCCTTATCTTTGTAATTCATACAATTGTGGGATATAATCAGAAAAGATCTTTGTTTTTATTTCTCTGCCCCTTTAAATTTCTTTAGTGGCCTTAGCTTGTCTGCTACTGAATGGAAACATGGGCAATTCTATCACTTTACCACTCTCTCCTAGGATCCTACAGTGTCTGTATCTAACATACACAGTCTCAATTTAGTAATGAGAAGTGTCCACTCCCATGTATTGGCAAACACTTCCATCTTCATTCAAAATACAATTACTTACTTACCCTAGCTGAAGCTTTTTGCAGGTGGGAATCCAAGTGGGGAGTGTGGGCCTTCCTTTCTTCTCTTTTTTGAGACAGAGTTTCACTTGTCACCCAGGCTGGAGCGCAATGATGCAATATTGGCTCACTGCAACCTCTGCCTCTCGAGTTCAAGCGATTGTCCTGCCTCAGTCTCCCGAGTAGCTGGGATTACAGGCGCCTGCCATGACACCTAGCTAATTTTTGTATTTTTAGTAGAAACGGGGTTTCACCATGTTGGCCAGGATGGTCTCAAACTCCTGACCTCAAGTGATCTACCCGCCTTGCCCTCCCAAAGTGCTGGGATTACAGGCATGAGCCACCACACCTGCCTTTTCTTTTCTTTTTTATTTTTTTGAGACAGAATCTTGCTCTGTCTTGCCCAGGCTGAAGTGCAGTGGGCCAAGTGATCACGGCTCACTGCAGTCTTGTTGACCACCTGGTCTCAAGTGATCTGTTCACCTCAGCCTCCCAAGTAGCTGGGACAACAGGTGGGATGCCATGCCAGGTGAATTTTTGTATTTTTTTGTAGAGACAGGGTTTGCCATGTGGCCCTAGTCTCGAACTGGCTGGTCTCGAACTCCTGGCCTCAAGCAAAGTGCTGGGATTATAGGTGTGAGCCACTGTGCTCTGCTGGGCCTTCCTTTCTATTTCCCTATTTCAGTGGTTCTTAAAAAGCATGATCCTGTGGACCAGTAGCATGAACAGGGAAATTGTTAGGAATTGATATTCTTGGTTCCCACCCAGACTTACTGAATCAGAAAATCGGGATGAGGCCAGCAATGCATTTTAACAAGTGCTCCAGGTAACTGATAAACATTAAAGTTTGAAAAACACTGCCCTATCTGACACTTATTTCCCTCCTCATCCTTCTTGGTATTCTTAGTTTCTGTGACTAAACCAAAGGGAGCGGGGATAGAAAAGGGGCCAGTAGGGTTATTATTCCTCTAGTATTGTTGTAAGATAACTTCTTGCATTAGGGCCTGAGTCTTATCTATAGTTGATGCTTTCTCTGGTGGCTACTTTTTCAAAGGCCTTGGCTAAGAATATACGTTTATCCCTTTTCTTCTCTTCCCCTTTTTTCCCTACCCTTCTTCCATGTGAAAGGATCTCTCTGTTGGGGTCTTACTGTCCTTTCAGGGCCCAATCAGAATGACCCTAGAAATGCTTTTGTTTGATATAGTTTACAGAATACAAAGTTGTAAAATAAAAAATGAGTCTATTCCTTTATGAACAAGATTTTCTTTTCTCCCACTGACCCCCTGCCATTTTCCAAGTGTAAAGAAGTTTATGAATTGATTGATCTGGGGCTTCCTTGATAGTATTTTGAGGTCTCTCAGTCCAGAGTGAGATCATGAAACTAGACAACAGTCAGGGATTAGGTTAGAACTGCCTGATCATTACCTACTGAACTGGACTCCTCTTGTACACCATTTTACATCATCTTGTCCTCACTTATTACTCTAGTCACTGCTATAGTTACTAGGTCTAGAGAGACTTGACCAGTCATGTAGGTGCAACATGACAATGCCTCAGCCTGGGTCAATTACATCCTGTTTCCTGCCTGGTGCTTCTCTGATGGCCTAGTATCTGCTGGGCTTTCATGCATGATCAAACAAGAACTGGGTGCAAGGGAGTTAATGCCTATGGCGCCATTCTTGGCTAATAGGGAACACATTTACCAGATAAAAACTTCTGCCTTTTAAGCCAGGTGGGAAATTCTGAAATGGATGTTCATAAAGCTTCTCAGAACCTCCTACAGAATTGAGTAATTATTGCCTATAGAAGTTTCCAGCTAGATAATGCATCTTTGTATTGACTTTCCCTCCTTCCTCACTCATTCTCTCATTCCTCACTGCTGTTCCCTGATCGCTTCCTAAACAAATGGCCTGCTTACAAACCTTTTTCTCAGCCTTTCAGGGGGACTCAGGCAAAGACACCAATATGAACCTTTCGTATTTCCTATCTTTTGAAGATTTTGCAGACTCAAAGATTCAAGGTGATAAATTCATTTGAAACTGAGGATATCTGCAAAAGGGAATGTCTGAGATTTGTTGGCTTCAACTGAACAATTAGTCACCAAGAATTGAAATTACCCATATGTGATTCATGAAATACTATCAAGCTGCCATCATTTCTGGAGGCAGGGAACTACTAGATAACATCTTTGAGAAACACTGAGGATTTCAGTGACTATTTTACAAGAGGGAGGCACTTATTTTTTTCTGTCTCAGCAAAGTATCAAAAAATCTTGGCATTTATCAGGGCTCACAAGTGACTATACACTGAAGAGATGACTTATAGTTCACTTTAATTTAAAAGCAAGACATACTTGTCACAATTCAGAGTTCTCTTGGGTGACAGCGATGCCAGTATTGCCTCAACTTGCCTTTGTGCTACACAGAAGAAGCCATGCAAGTGCATTAGCTTTTTTAGCCTCAGAAACTACTGTGGTTGTATGCTAATCTAGCCAGTGGTTTGAGAAAACTGGCTATGAATTGATTATATTGAAATCACTAGGGAAGCTTTTTAAAAATACATGTTTCTGAGTTCCATCTCTGGGTATTTGGATTGGGGCTGGTGTGTGGGCAGTGGTGGCCTGAAGCTGGCTGTGAGAGCTGATTGTGCACTTCTCTTCCTTACTCTATGTTGAGTGACTTTATGTTGGTAGCTTGAAATCAGCTCTAGTGGGAGTATGTATACCATGAAAATTGGGAAATCCTACAACTTGGCAATTTATCCCCCTAGAGAACTGGTTATAAAACATTTACTAGAACATCACTAGATTGAGCCTATGAATCCAATGCAATCTTCTACCCAGGTAAGGAATCTGCCTTTCAGGAATGTTAATATTTTTATTTCTGATTTAATATGAGCTGTTCAGATGTCAGTACAATTAGTCCACTATCCATTTTTTGCAAGTATAATGTTTAAGGTAGATATTAACCTTTTGTATTTGATATATTATTGAAATTACTTTAATAAAAATACCAATTTGACTTGTATTACAGAAGCTAATGTAAATGACCTCCCCTTTGTACCTGATTGGATTTTCTAAAGGAAAACCAGTCCACATTAATTTAACTCCCTATGTGATACTGTTCTACAAAATTAAAATATTTATCTGGCTTGGTTTAAGGACAGTTGTTAGAATAATTGTTTTAACAGAAACTTGGACAATATATTCTCACACATATTATACTTTAATGAACGATTTCTGTGCTAAACTGA
The DNA here is from genome assembly GCF_000001405.40 of Homo sapiens. Classification (NCBI taxonomy): domain Eukaryota; kingdom Metazoa; phylum Chordata; class Mammalia; order Primates; family Hominidae; genus Homo; species Homo sapiens. The sequence goes on from NC_000006.12 coordinate 97,324,114, forward strand.
ATAGTTATCATTATAAGATTTTATCTGGAATTTGGAGAGGTGGCCCGTTAGAGAGATTACAGGGGAGTTCCTATTTCTCTCTCCTATTGGTACCATTAATTATTAATATTAAATGTTAGACATAGTGAGGTTGGAGAATTCAGTACATATTAAGAAAGAGAAGGAATAATAATTTTCAACACAATGCCTATATTTCTGTACCTGGCAATAATGATTTAAAGACCAGTTTAGGTCATTTATGCCATTTCTAACAGAGTTTACACTGATAAACTTGAAATACAAAAAATCACAATGTGGTTTTAACATGAAGTGGAAATGTCAAATTGTTTGATATGGTATAGTATTCTGAAAATTGAATTAGATGTAAGGAAGAAATGTGTTCTAACCTCAGCTTCATCATTTCCTATTCAAATGCCATGGGTCAATCACATAATCATTCTCAACTTCGATTCCTTATTCTTGAAACTAGTGAATTTATATTACATAGCTTATTCTGAGGATCAAATAAGATAGTGCAGGTGTGAGCACTTTGAATATTCTACATTACTCTTCAAATGTAAGATGCTTCTTTTGGATGCTATCTGCCATTGACAAATGTGGTTATCTTCTTTTGGATGTTATCTTCTTTTGGATGTTATGAAATCATTCTCAAAATTCAAATAAATCTCTTAATAGCTACAAGCATTATTTTGCAATTATTTTATGGAAGAAGAGTTGTATTGCTTAAAATATTTCTATCTTCTGTGAAGGTGTAGTATAAATAAAAAAAATAGCTAACTTATGGAGTTCTTACTGTGTGGGAGGAACCATGTTATAAAGTAGAGTAGGTATTATTAGTATCCCATTTTTTTTCAGATGAGGAAACTAAGGCTAAGAGAGAATAATCGATTTTCCACGTCTAACAGCTATAAGATGATAAAGCTAGGACTCAGAAATTATTCCACCTGACATCCAAGCTCAGACTCTGAAACAAAATGCTAATACTGCCTCTTGGATTGTTCACCTTTGCCTTTATTCTCACTTTACCCACTATATATGAATGTATATATTTTATATGTGTACATCACTATACATCTTCATCACTATATATGAATGTACATAATGTATATAAAACTGTCCCTACGTTTAACAGTGGCTGCAAACTACCTAGCATCCTGACGGTCTGATTTCTGTCAATCACATGCATAGCAATTTATAACTGTAGTTAATGGTGTTATTTCCTCAATTAACCCTAGATTTGAAGGTCAAGTGGACCTTCAAATTTCCCTCAAAGGACACTTATTTAGTTTATTATGGGAAAGTAATAATAGGCACAATTTTTATTATTTGTTAAGTACCTAGCAATTTGTACCTATAACCCTTACTATAGGCATAGATATTATAATCCTCATGTTGCAGATAACAGACTGAGATGGACAGTACTCTGCTGGAGGTTATGCAATAGCTTAGTGGCAGAGCTGGAATTTAAACTGGTCCCCAAACTCCGTAGCCCATCATTTTCTCACTAACAACAAACACATGGCACACCATGTGTGATACACTGGGGGGATCCCCTTGTTAGAATTGGTCATCTCTAGATGCTAGTGTGATTTCAAAGCTTTGTTGACTGAGGGGGAAAAGTTAATTCTGTGCTACATTTATGATTAATTAGCAAATTGAGGGTAGAGCTGTTTTAGTTGTTCTCAAGATAATGTAGTTTGGGTCCAAACCAGGGATCTCTAAGAGAATAAATACTTTACACTCATCCTCTGGAATTGTGATTGATATGATGTAAATAACATCAAAATTAAAATTAAAATTTTGATGTTATTTAAAATTATGTCTGTGATTTTTAAGGTTTCTATACATTAAAATTTAGGTAGTAAAGAATACTGCTTGCACTAGAGTTCTTGAAAATGATAAGATCTTACATTTTGTTTGGAAACCACCAAATTCTAAATTCAGGGGATGAGTTGGAGAGGGAGCACTAACCTCTTTTTGTTCATTATCGTGTAAGTTATATTATGCAATCCTCAAAATAGGCTTTTAGGCCATTACTCAGATGGAAGAAGCAGATTTTGTTTTACAACTAGAGGATAATATAGTACATCTCCTGTAAAAACAAACTCAAGTCTTCATATTCAGAGACCTATTTTAGTTTTCTAATTAAAAAATGAAACAAACAAAAAATTGTTCTAGAATTACGAAAAAACTGAAGAAAATATACTAATTAAAATATCAATTTGGCAGAAACTTTAAAAAAAGAATTGTGTTTCTCAAGTATACCAAAGTTTTAAATAAAATCTTACAGGGGATTTTATTCATGTGTAGGCAGTCATAAAATATCTCAAGTTGAATGGGGGTGGGGAGGCATTCTTAAAGTTAGTATTACTTTTGTGGGTCAATTCTTTCTGAAATTTTTTATTTATTTATTACTTTGAATCCTCAAAAGCTATTTTAATTAATTAATTAATTTCTACTTTGAACCCTGAGAAGCTATTTTAAAAATTTAACTTAATTTTCAAACTAAATATAGCTCTTTTTTAAACTTTTTTTATTTTAATTTTTTTCTTTGTTTTTTGAGACAGGGTCTTGCTCTGTTGCCCAGGCAGGAGTACAGTGGTACAAGTGATTTCAGCTCACTGCAGCCTCGACCTCCAAGGCTCAAGTAATCTTCCCACTTCAGCCTCCCAAGCAGCTGGGATTACAGGCATGTGCCACCATACCCAGCTAATTCAGAAATTAATTCATATCTACACTCATATGTAGTCCAGAGTGTTTAGGTCACTAACAAAAATAGTTCACTTACATATCTTAATATGATACTTTATGTAAAAGAATTTCAAAGTTTAAAAACTGTAAGCAAACATAGGTTATTGTTATTATTTGGGCATTTCCCCTTCTTAATCAGTAAATACTTTTTAAGTGCATACTATGAATCAAACACTATTAGGTGCTGATATTGTTTGGCTCTGTGTCCCCACCCAAATCTCATCTGAATTGTAATAATTCCCACGTGTCATGGGAGGGACCTGGTGGGATATAATTGAATCATAGGAGTAGGTTTTTCCTGTGCTGTTCTCGTGATAGTAAGTCTCATGAGATCTGATGGTTTTATAAAGGGGAGTTCCCCTGCACATGTTCTCTTGCCTGCCACCATGCAAGACATGACTTTGCTCCTCATTTGCCTTCTGCAATGATTGTGAGGCCTCCCCAGCCATGTGGAACTGTGAGTCAACTAAACCTCTTTCCTTTATAAATTACCCAGTCTCAGGGATGTCTTTATTAGCAGCATGAGAACAGACTAATACAGTAAATTGGTGCCAGTAGAGTGGGATGCTGCTGTAAAGATACCTGAAAATGTGGAAGTGACTTTAGAACTGGGCAACAGGCAGAGGTTAGAACAGTTTGGAGGACTTAGAAGAAGACAGGAAAATGTGGGAAAGTTTGGAACTTCCTAGAGACTTGGAGTACTCAGAAGGCAGGAAGATGTGAGAAAGTTTGGAACTTCCTAGCCTTGTTGAATGGCTTTGACCAAAATGCTGATAGTGATATGGACAATGAAGTCCAGGATGAGGTAGTCTTAGATAGAAATGAGGAGCTTGTTGGGAACTGGAACAAAGGTGACTTTTGCTATGTTTAACAAAGAGACTACCAGCATCTTGCCCCTGCCTTAGAGGTTTGTGAAACTTTGAACTTGAGAGAGATGATTTGGGGCATCTGGCAGGAGGAATTTCTAAGCAGCAAATTATTCAAAAGGTGACTTGGGTACTGTTAAAAACATTCAGTTTTATGTATTCACAAAGATATGGTTTGGAATTGGAACTTATGTTTAAAAGGGAGGCAGAACATAAAAGTTTGGAAAATGTGGCTGGGTGCAGTGGCTTATGCCTGTAATCCCAGCACTTTGGGAGGCCGAGGTGGGCAGATCACGAGGTCAAGAGATTGAGACCATTCTGGCCAACATGATGAAACTCCGTCTCTACCAAAAATACAAAAATTAGCTGGGCATGGTGGTGCATGCCTATAGTCCCAGCTACTTGGGAGGCTAAGGCAGGAGAATCCCTTGAACCCCGGAGGCAGAGGTTGCAGTGAGCCAAGATCATGCCACTACACTCCAGCCTGGCAACAGAGTGAGACTCTATCTCAAAAAAAAAAAAAAAAAAAAAAAAGTTTGGAAAATGTGCAGCCTGATGATGCAATAGAAAAGAAAAACCCATTTTTCTGAGGAGAAATTCAAGCTGACTACAGAAATTTGCCTAAGTAATGAAAAGCCAAATGTTAATCACCAAGACCATGGGGAAAATGTCTCCAGGGCATGTCAGAGGTCTTCACAGCAACCCCTCCCATCACAACCTGGGAGACCTAGGAGGAAAAAATGGTTTTGTGAGTTAGGTCCAGGGCCTTGCTGCTTTGTACAGTCTAGGGACTTGGTAACCTACATTGCAACAATGGCTAAAAGAAGCCAACATACAGCTCAGGCCATTGCATCAGAGGGTGGAAGCCCCAAACCTTCGTGGCTTCCACGTGATGTTGGGCCTACAGGTGCATAGAAGTCAGGAATTGAGGTTTGGGGACCTCTGGCTATATTTCAGAGGATTATGGAAACACCTGGATGTCCAGGCAGATGTGTGCTGCAGCAGTGGAGCCCTCATGGAGAACTTCTGCTAGGGAAGTGCAGAAGGGAAATGTGGGGTGTAATCCCCCTCACAGAGTCCCCACTGGGGGACTGTCTAGTGGAATTATGAGAAGGGGGCCACTGTCCTCCAGACCCCAGAATGGTAGATCTACCAACAGCTTGCACTGTGCCCTGGAAAAGCCACAGACCCTCAATACCAGCCTGTGAAAGCAGCCAGGAGGGGGAAACCCACCTCTTGCATCAGCATTACCTGGATGTGAGACATGGAGTCAAAGGAGATAATTTTGGAGCTTTAAGATTTGACTGCCCTGCTGGATTTTGGACTTGCATGGGCCTGTAGCCCCTTTGTTTTGGCCAAGTTCTTCCATTTGGAATGAGTATATTTATCCAATGCCTGTATCCCCATTGTATCTACGAAGTCACCAACTTACTTTTTTTTTTTTTTTTTGAGATGGAGTCTTGCTCTATTGCCAGGCTGGAGTGCAGTGGTGCAATCTCGGCTCACTGCAAGCTCTGCCTCCCAGGTTCATGCCATTCTCCTGCCTCAGCCTCCTGAGTAGCTGGGAATACAGGTGCCCACCACCATGCCTGGCTAATTTTTTTGTATTTTTAGTAGAGATGGGGTTTCACTGTGTTAGCCAGGATGGTCTTGATCTCCTGACCTTGTGATACACCCGCCTTGGCCTCCCAAAGTTCTGGGATTATAGGCATGAGCCACCGCGCCCTGCCACCGACTTACTTTTGATTTTACAAGCTCATAGATGGAAGGGACTTGCCTTGTCTCAGATGAGACTTTGGATTGTGGACTTTTGAGTTAATACTGAAATGAGTTAAGACTTTAGGGGACTTTTGGGCAGGCATGATTGGTTTTGAAATGTGAGGACAGGATGTTTGGCAGGGGCCAAGATCAAAATGATATGGTTTGGCTCTGTGACCCCACCCAAATCTCATCTTGAATTGTAATAATCCCCATGTGTTGTAGAAGGGACCTAGTGGGAGGTAACTGAATCATGGTTGTTTTTCCTGGGCTGTTGTCATGATAGTGAATAAGTCTCATGAGATCTGATGGTTTCCTAAAGGAGAGTTCCCCTGCACATGCTCTCTTGACTGCTGCCATGTAAGATGTGACTTTGCTCTTTATTTGCTTTCTACCATGATTATGACACCTCCCCAGCCATGTAGCCATGTGGAACTGTGAGTCAATTATACTTCTTTCTTTTATAAATTATAGTTTTGGGTGTGTATGTCTTTATTAGCAGTGTGAGAGCAGACTAATACAGGTGCTGTGGAAGATTTATAAAAAATGTTTTTGAATATATATTTTATTTTATTTATTTATTCTTTTCAGACAGAGTCTCGCTCTGTCACCCAGGCTGGAGTGCAGTGGCACGATCTTGGTTCACTGCAAGCTCCGCCTCCCGGGTTCACGCCATGCCATTCTCCTGCCTTAGCCTCCTGAGTAGCTGGGACTACAGGTGCCCGCCACCATGCCTGGCTAATTTTTTGTATTTTTAGTAGAGACGGGGTTTCCCCGTATTAGCCAGGATGGTCTCGATCTCCTGACCTCGTGATCCACCCGCCTTGGCCTCCCAAAGTGCTGGGATTACAGGCATGAGCCACTGCACCTGGCTCCTTGAATATATATTTTAAATAATCAAATAGTTTACTATTTGAAAAGTAAAGAAAGGAACATAGTGAAAATACCTTGAAAATTATTGTTTCATTCTTATTCCTATGCCCAGAGGCAACAAATATTACATGTTTCTTGTGTATCCTTACACAGATAATTTATGCAAATATAAGCAAAGCAGGGATTGTTCTTTCCTTCATACCTGTTGTGCAGCTTACTTTACATACATGGTAGCAGATCCTACAAATAGTTCAGAATCTTGCCTCCAGCTCTCCATCCCTCTTGCTGCAAAGGACATGATTTCATTCATTTTTATGGCTTTTATAGTATTCCATGTGTATATATACCACATTTTGTTTAACAAAACAACCATCGAGGGACACTTAGGTTGTGACTCTTGCTTTTTCACATGCATATCTTGCAAAGTATTTCAAAGCCCAGGTCATAAGTTTACTCATTCTTTTTTTTTTTTTAATGGCTGCAAACTATTTCCTTTTATGGATGTTTCATAATTTATTTAACTAGTCATCTGGTATTGACACTTAAGTAATTTCCAATCTTGCTGTTACAAATCATATTGCAGTGAATAAACTTCTGTATAGGTCTTTTCACCCATAAATATCTATGTCTTCAAGGGAAGTCCTTGAAGTAATGTTGTTGGATTAAAGGTATATGCTTTTGCAACTGTGATAGATACTGACAAATTAAACTGCATAGAGGTTGTGTCAGTTTACACTTTGGCTAGCAACATGTGAAAATGCCTGTTTCTCCAGCCTGGCCAACATGGTAAAAACCCATCTCTACTAAAAATATAAAAATTATCCAGGCATGGTGGTGGGCACCTGTAATCCCAGCTACTCAGGAGGCTGAGGCAGGAGAATCTTGTGAACCCGAGAGGCAGAGGTTGTAGTGAGCTGAGCTCGCACCACTGCACTCCAGGCTGGGCAACAGAGCAAGACTTCATCTCAAAAAAAAAAAAAAAAGCCTGTTTCTGAACTGTCTGGCCAAACAGTATTATGAATTTTTTGTATCTTTGCCCATCTGCCAGATACAGAGTGATGTTATTATAGTTTTAATTATCATCACTCTTATTTCTTTATTCATGTATTTAAGAGTTATTTGTGTTTCATGTCCATGAACTATCTGTGCATATTGTTCGCTTATTTTTCTATTGGGTCATTTATTATCAAATAGTAGGTATTCTTTACTGTTTATTGGTTTGTGATATGAATTTCAAGTACTTATCCCAGCTTGTCGTTTTTCTTTTGTCATTGCTTATTGTGGTTTTTGCTGTAAAGATTATTTAAAATTTTTTGTGTTGTACAATTTATCAGTCTTTTGATTTATAGCTTCTGTGTCATATTTAAATGGGCCTCTCCTCTACCAACATTATAAAGATACTTCTCCCACATTACTTCTAATACTTTTAGGCTTTCAGTTTTACAATCATATCTTTCCATTTGAAATTTATCCTGATATAGAATATGAGGCATAACGCCAATGTTATTTTTTTTCTAGGTAACTACCCCATGTCGTTTTTTCTTCACCTATTTGAAATGCTGCCTTAATATGTTTTGTTATATTAATAATTATGGTGTACACCCTATGAATAAAGCATTGTGTCAGGCACTGTGGGAAAATTTATAAAGTGTAACGTAGTTCATGCAGCCAGAAATTGCCATCTAGTTATAGTTACAAAACTAACACTCACAGAAATAACCAAATGGTGGGTTGTATCAGAGAAGATTTTATGGGATGGGTCGTCATTAGTTCTCTAACAGTTGTAAGTGGATTTAGAGAATAAAAACACAGAAAAGAGGCTGGGTGCGGTGGCTCATTACTTTAAAATTTTTAGCAATAGAAGATTTAGAAACCTCTATAAGGATGATACAATTACATGTATTATTTTGTCGTTGTTTTTCAACTTAATCTTTTTTTTTTTTTTTGAGACGGAGTCTCCCTTTGTCACCCAGGCTGGAGTGCAGTGGCGCGATCTCGGCTCACTGCAAGCTCCGCCTCCCGGATTCACACCGTTCTCCTGCCTCAGCCTCCCGAGTAGCTGGGACTACAGGCGCCCGCCACCACGCCTGGCTAATTTTCTGTATTTTCAGTAGAGACGGGGTTTCACCGTGTTAGCCAGGATGGTCTCGATCTCCTGACCTCGTGATCTGCCCGACTCGGCCTCCCAAAGTGCTGGGATTACAGGCGTGAGCCACCGCACCTGGCCTCAACTTAATCTTTTTAAAAAAATTGAGATATAATTCACATGCCATTAAAATTCACCATTTTAGGCCGAGCATGGTGGCTCACGCCTATAATCCCAGCACTTTGGGAGGCTCAAACTCCTCGCTTCAGGTCAGGAGTTCGAGACCAGCCTGGCCAACATAGTGAAACCCTGTCTCTACTAAAACATACAAAAATTAGCTAGGCATGGTGATGCACACCTATAATCCCAGCTACTCGGGAGGCTGAGGCAGGAGAATTGCTTGAACTCGGGAGGAGGAGGTTGCAGTGAGCTGAGATCCCACCGCTGTGCTCCAGCTTGGGCAACAGAGTGAGACTCCATCTCAAAAAAAAAAAAAACACAAAAAAATTTTGGCATTTTAAAGTGCGTAAAGTGGTTTTTAGTAAATTCACAAAGTTGAGTAATCATCACTACTATTTAATTCCAGAACATTTCCATTACCCCAAAGAGAAGCCCTGTATGAGTTAGCTGTTACTTTTATAATAACCCACTCCCCAGCTCCTGACAGTTACAAATGACTACTTTCTGTATCTACAGATTTGCCTATTTTGGACATTTCATATAAATGTAATCATACAATATACAGCCTTTTGTGTTTGCCTTCTTTCATTGAACAGTGTTTTGAGGTTCATCCATATTGTGGAAAGTATCAGTAGTTTGTTCTCTTTTTATGGTTGAATAATATTCCACTCTATGTATGTAGCACATCTTGTGGTGTATGTGTTTATCAGTTGATGAATGTGGGAGCTGTTTCCACTTTTTGGCTATTATGAATAATGCAGCTATGGACATTTATGTACAAGTTTTTACATGGACATATATGTTTTCGTTTATCTTTTGTATTTACCTAGGAGTGGACTTGCTGGATCATTGATAACTCTATGTTTAAATTCTGGAGAAGCTACCAAACTTTTCCATATTGACTGCACTGTTTTATATTCATACTAGTAATGTATGAAGGTTTGAATTTCTTCACATCTTTACCAATACTCGTTACTTATTTATTTATTTTTTTGAGACAGGGTCTCACTCTCTCTTCCAGGCTGTAGAGCAGTGGCGTGCTCATGGCACACTGCAACCTTGATTTCCTGGGCTCAGTTGATCCTTCCACCTCAGCCTCCCAAGTAGCTGGGTCTACAGACCGGGTTTCACCATGTTGCCTGGGCTCGTCTCAAGCTTCTGGGCTCAAGTGATCTGCCTGCCTCAGCCACTCGTTATTTTGTGTTTTATTTTTAAAATTATAATCATCCTAGTGTGTGGAAAGTGGTATTTCATTGTACTTTTAATTTGCACTTCTCTAACAACTTACGGTGTTCAGTGGCCTTTCGTGTACTTATTAGGCATTTATGTGTCCCTCCTTAGGGAAATATCTATTTAAACGCTTTAACCATTTTTGAATTTTGAATTGGTCATTTTGAATTGATCATTTTATTACTGAGTTGTAGATTTTTTTATATATCATGAATACTAGAGCCTTATAAGATATATAATTTGCAAATAGTTCCTCTTGTTGCTGGTTTGTCTTTTCACTTTCTTTATAGTGTCCGTTGACACACACAAGTTGTTTTGTTTCTTATTAAAATTGCATTAAAAGCTTTTGTTCATTTTTAAATTTGAAAATGAATCCAAGTTATCTTTTTCTTTGATTACCTGTGCTTTTGTTTATAACTAAGAAACTTTTGCCTAACTCAGATTCATGAGGATTTACTCCTGTGTTTTATCTTTAGAGTTTTATGGTTTTAGCTTTTACATGTAGGAATTGGATCTATTTTGAGTTATTTTTTATGTGGTTTGAAGTAGGGGTCCAGCTTCATTTTTTTTTTTGTATGTGGATACTAGTTGTCCTAGTGCCATTTGTTGAAAACACTGTTCTTTCTTCATTTAAAAGTCTTGCCATCCTTGTTGAAAATTAATTGACCAAAGATGTAAGGGTTTATTTCTGTACTCTCAATTCTATTCCACTGATCTATATGCCTATCTTTATGTCAGTATCACACTATCTTAACTATTGTAGCTTTGTAGTAGACTTTAAAATCAGGAAGTATGAGTTCTCCAACTTTGTTATTTTTAAAGATTTTTTTGGCTATCTTGGGTTACTTGCACTTCTATGTGAATTTTAGAATCAACTTGTGTATTTCTGTAAAAAAGAAATTTAGAATTTTGACAGGGATTGCACTGAATCTGTAAATCAGTTTGGTCATTCAGTGTTTCCAAATAAGTTGATTCTACTATGTTTAAAATATTCAAATATTCTTCTCTTATAATTTTTTCTAATATCTGATCTAAATTTTAGGGTTAATACTGAATTTGTTCTCCTAGATCTGAATTTAGTGTGCTTTCCAAATCGTTACTATTGTCACATGCTTATTTTTGCAACTTTTCCTCTGGAAGAGTATTTTGTCTGACTTGAATTCACTTCGTGATGATCCTGGTGGTAAAGGTGCTGATGCATATAATGCTGGTTTTAAAGATACTAGACATCAGGCAACAAGGGACATTTATCCCTAGTGAGGGTCATATGATTTATGGTACAGATTAAGTGAAGGTTTTGTTATAGTTTGAATAAAGAAAAGTATGGGAAAACTGAGTTATCATGTGAAATATAGTAGATGCATGCGCAGACCAAATTAAAAAGAATCCTCAATAGCTGTCTGAACCATATTCATATTGTAAGCAGCATTTTTTTTTTTTTTTGAGACAGTCTTGCTCTGTTGCTGAGGCCGGAGTGCAGTGGCACCATCTCAGCTCACTGGTTTCAAGCAAGTCTTGTGCCTCAGCCTCCTGTGTAGCTGAGATTACAGGTGTGTGCCACCACGCCTGGATAATTTTTTGTATTTTTAGTAGAGACGGGGTTTCACCATGTTGGCCAGGCTAGTCTCAGACTCTTGGCCTCAAGTGATCCACCTGCCACAGCCTACCAAAGTGCTGGGATTCCAGGCTTGAGCCACCGCGCCTGGCCTGTAAGCAGCAATTTAATTTCAGGTAAATATCATGTGTTGGCTTCAATTAATATTATTAATTTGAATTTTATTAATTTTGGAGTTTTTGAGTGATTTTAATTTGAAAATGTGCTTTGCCTTTACAATTAAGAGCTATAAACAATAACAAATATTTATGTTAACTGGAGTTTATAAGAATTTAAAAAATATATTACATTAGGGGTCCTCAACCTTTTTGGCACCAGGGACTGGTTTTGTGGAAGACAATTTTTCCAGGGACACAGGTGGGGTGGGGATTGTGGGGGATGGTTTCAGGATGAAACTCTGCCATGTCACATCATCAGACATTAGATTCTTATAAGGAGCACGGAACCTAGGTCCCTCACACACACAGTTTACAATAGGGTTCTCACTCCCATCAGAGTCTAATGCAGCTGCTGATCTGACAGAAGGCAGAGCTCAGGTGGTAATGCTTGCTTGCCCACCACTCACCTCCTGCTGTGCAGCCTGGTTCCTAACAGGCCACAGACTGCTACCAGTCTGCAGCCTGGGGTTTAGGGACCCCTGTTTACATGATTGAGAATTTCTGTTCTTAGGCAACCATCATCTAGCCTCCTATATTCTTCTAAAATAAATATGTAGGTGATGCCCATATCTTCAATCTACCTCTACCTCTTCTTTTCTGGCCACACTATTTCACCCTAGTGCAGAATGCTAACAATTTGTTGTCTATATTATTGTTCTAGCCTTCTAAGTCTTTCTTCCACTCATTTTGCCTCTCGACCACCTCTTATATACACTTCTATTAGATTAAGTCATTTTTGTATTTTCCCATGCACAAACACCAGTTTTCCAATATCATGATTCTACTAAGCCACGTACCACTTACACAACCCTACTCTTTGCCTCTACCTTGCTCTTTAAATTTTTCTTGGATGTTCTTGGCCTGAATTTTAGGATAACAATAAAAGTTTTTGAAAATCTGTGCTGTGACATTGATTAAAATTTCTTTGAATTTATAAATTATATGGGAGGGAAATTTAACTTTTTAAATATCCAGTCTAAAAATATGGTATATTTCCTCACTTATTTAGAATTTCTTTTATGTTCTACAATTTTTAAAACGTTGCATGAGGTCTTGCACATCTTTTGTTAAATTTATAAATTTATTATTAGTTACCTTAGAATTTTTATCACTGTTGTCAGTATGATTTTCTTTTCCATTAGTTTTCCAATTGTTTATTACTGGCATATAGAAGCATTTTTTGTTTTTTGTACATTTACCTTAATGACTCTTATTAGCATAAAATTTAATCTGTAGCTGTTTTTAGAATTTTACACAAGTCGACCGGGCGTGGTGGCTCATGCCTGTAATCCCAGCACTTTGGGATGCCGAGGTGGGTGGATCACGAGGTTAAGAGATCGAGGCAGTTCTGGCCAACATGGTGAAACCCCGTCTCTACTAAAAATACAAAAATTTAGCTGGGCGTGGTGGTGGGCGCCTGTAGTCCCAGATACTTGGGAGGCTGAGGCAGGAGAAACACTTGAACCTGGGAGGTGGAGGTTGCAGTGAGCCGAGATCACGCCACTGCACTCCAGCCTGGTGACAGAGTGAGACTCTGCCTCAAAAAAAAAAAAAAAAAAAAAAAAGAATTTTACGCAAGTCATCTTTCTCAAATGTAAACCTGATAGTTTCTTTTCTTCTTATAAACCTTCCATGGCTCCTCATCCCCTGCCTGGCATACAGGCTTCTTTATGATCTAGCTACTTCCTTCATCATGCTTACTACTTTTAGCCAGACTCCAACCCCTGCAGTTCCCAAATGTTCCATGCTACTTTACATACATGTCTTTGTTCTGATTCTTCCAGCCCCTGAAAGAAGTGCTGAAGAAATGCTCAGTACTTTTTTTTGTTGTTGTTCAGAGACAAGGTGTCACAGTGTTGCCCAGGCTGGCCTGGAACTCCTGGGCTCAAGCAATCCTCCCACCTCAGCCTCCTGAATAGCTGGGACAACATGTGTGAGCCACTATGCCTGGCTTAATACATTTTTTTCTTGAGTGATTGAAGGAATAATTGAGTGAGCTTCCTCTGCTTGAAACATTTTTCTCAATTTTTGTCCATCTGCTTTAGATCAGCTAATACTTTATTCTCCCTCTAAGACTTTACCTTCTTTTAAAATCCTCTCTGACCATACCTAGGCAAATTCCGGCACTCTTTTTCTGTGCTTGCCTCTGTTACCCTGAATCATGTATGTGCATCTCTTGTAATACTTTTTATGTCTTGTAATTGTTCACATACATATACATTTTTATCTTAAAAATTGGAAGACAGGGATATTCTCTTTCTCTTTGTGTGTGACCCCACATCTAGCAGAGTATCTTATATGCAGACTTAATAAACATATATTAAAAATAAATAAGAAAAATATGATGTTTTCCTTTTTATGCTGGCTTTATTGACTCTCCCTCTCTCTCTCTCTCTCTCTCTCTCTATATATATATATATATATATATAGCTTATTTATATATATATATATAACCTTGGTCCAGAAAATTGGACCAAGATTTCAAGGATGAAAAATGTGGCACTCATGCAAATATCTAGAGAAAGCTTTCCAAGGAGAGAGAGAAAAAACAGCAAGTGCAAAGGCTTCTAGGTAAGGATGAGCTTGGCATATTCATGTAGGAGATACATAAAGAGAGCTATTATAGATAGAACATTTAGGAAGGGAAGGAAGTGAATGAGAGATGACATGGAGGTATGTAGAGACCTATCATGTAGGGGCTCTATGTGTCCTGCAAAGAGACTGGAGTTGGAATTTATTATAATTATAGTAAAAATTTATGGAAGGGTTTTAAGGGAGAGGGGTAGAAATAAGCTGCCCTAAGAAGCTTATGCACAAGGCATAGCTCTGAAATTAAATTCCAAACAGAGCAAATTTACTCAAATGTAAAGATGAGGCTGGGCACGGTGGCTCACACCTGTAATCCCAGCACTTTGAGAGGCTGAGGCAGGAGCATCACTTGAGGCCAGGAGTTCAAGACCAGCCTGGCCAACATGGCGAAACCCCATCTCTACCAAAAGTACAAAATTTAGCCAGACGTGGTTGTGCGCATCTGTAATGCCAGCTACTCAGGAGGCTGAGGCAGGAGAATTGCTTGAACCCAGGAGGCGGAGGTTGCAGTGAGCCGAGATCGTGCCACTGCACTCCAGCCTGGGCGGCAAAGTGAGACTCTGTCTCAAAAATAAATACATAAATAAATCCAAGTAAACAGTCCTGTCTCATAGAAGTCTCTCAAATATTTTTTGACTAATTATGACTAGTTATAATACTGTTTTCTCAACATGTACTCCAATTTTTCTTTCACTTATTTTGGCATATGATTAGTTTTTCTCCTATTGCTAAACCTAGTCTTTTAAAGGATGTCTCTAAATCAAAATTCAATTGCTTTATGGCAAAGAAACACAGATGTGTTCAATCACACAAATAAACTCTCAATTATTAGGGCCTTTTATAAACTATGTAAACAATTGTGTTTCTCTTCATTTTAAAATGCTAGTTTTCTGTTGTTCTGAACTTCTGTTTAACAATGTATTACTGTTATTTATTTTCTCTTATATATTTTGCCTTTTGCCAACTAGACCATAAGCTACTAGAGGCAGGGAACATGTTCAGTCCTTTGGATATCTGTGATGTCGAGTTGAGTGACTGAGCAAAGTTTCAGCTACTCGCATAGTTGTTTTCATTGCAACTGGAGTCAAGAAACAAAGAGAAAAAGAGCCAAATCAACTAGACATTACTAATAATGATCATCATATCTTTATAACAGACTTGGTGAAAGAAGGATGTTGATGTTTTTAAAAATGTGGTTTATGTGTTTTGTTACAAAACTTTCCAAATCAGCTCTGTTCATTGTGTAAAAGCTATTGTTCATGTTATCAACGGTTATAATGGCACGGCCTTTGTAGCTGATTAACCTGTGTAATTTAAAGCCTTTCAGGGCTCCTGCAAAATATATTTGGTATGGAGAGACACTAGAATTACATGTATGTTATGGACTGAATGTTTGTTGTTCTCTCTGATTTCCAATTTTGTATGTTGAAACCCTACCCTCTAATGTGATGGTATTGTGAGAAAGGGCCTGTGGGATGTAATTGGATTAGATGAAGTCTTGAGGGTATAGTCCTCGTGAATGAGAATAATGCCCTTGTAAGAGTCCTGAGAGATCTTGCTTCTCCTTACTCTCCGCTACATGAAGATACAAGCAGTTGGCAGTCTGCAACCCAGAAGAGAGCCCTTGCCAGAACCCGACCCTGTTGACAACCTGATCTCAGAATTCCAGCCTCCAGAAGTGTGAGAAATACATTTCTGTTGTTCATAAAACACCCAGTCTGTGGTAATTTGTTATAGCAGCCCAAACTGACTAAGACACTTCCTTTTAGGAACTCTTAATTTCTTTAAGGAAAAAAGCACAAAAGTAAATGTTTTAACATCCTAGTAGGGTTAAGATCTCAGTTGGAGGCCAGGCGCGGTGGCTCACGCCTGTAATCCCAGCACTTTGGGAGGCCGAGACGGGCGGATCACGAGGTCAGGAGATTGAGACCATCCTGGCTAACACGGTGAAACCCCGTTTCTACTAAAAATACAAAAAATTAGACAGGCGTGGTGGCTGGCGCCTGTAGTCCCAGCTACTCAGGAAGCTGAGGCAGGGGAATGGCGTGAACCTGGGAAGCGGAGCTTGCAGTGAGCCGAGATCGCGCCACTGTACTCCAGCCTGGGCGACAGAGCGAGACTCCATCTCAAAAAAAAAAAAAAAAGATCTCAGTTGGATTAAAAATATAAATTGGTAAACAATGCTCTTTCAGCAAATCTGATGGCAAATTACTTTTTCACTATAATTGAAAGAGATGTTATTACATTATAGCATTTGTGATATGCTGAATTTATTTGCAGTGTTTATAATATCTCTCATATATTTTATGGAAGAATTTTAGTATGTGTTTATCAAATTAAAAATTGCCTCTAAGATTGTTCATTCTGTTTTTAAACTTTATCACTGATTATAGATACAAGGCACTTCTATCATTTATTTTAAAGACTGTTTATTAACTTGTCTTTAGGCTAGTTCAGACTGCATATTGCTAAGAAATTAAGTGCTTTGGACAATCAGTAATTTGCATAATTATTGTTTTGGAGATAATTCTGTAGGGAATAGTCTGCATCTATGAATATTTATAAACTATCTGATTTATAAGCATAGAAACAATAAGTATAAGGTATTGTTGTCTAGTTGTTTGAAAGATAATAAAATATCCACAGAGAAAAAGTGTATTATCTTTGATACGGCTCAAATAACTTTATCACTAATCATATAATAGAAAAGAAACAGAGTAAGGGGAAATTTTCCATTATTTAGATTATTCTTTCACTTTCAGAACACAGTTCCTGAAATACTCAGTATAGTACTTTATATTCGAGTGTGTGTATCTGTGTATGATGATGCATATGTAACATGTCTGCATGATGTACAACATATCTTTGTATGATGAGATGTAATCTAGATCAAGATCTGGCAAACTTAATGCCTGTGAATTGAATCAGGCCTCACTTACAGTTTTTGTGTATAAGGTTTTGTTGGAACATAGTAATGCTCATTCATTTGCATATTACTTTATATGGCTGCTTTAATGCTCTGTCAGCAGAGTTGAGCATGGCCTGCAAAGGTGTGCCCTTTAAAGGAAAAGCTTGTGACCCCTCACCTAGATATTAATTATATAGATTCAGCTGACCCTCATGCCCCAGAAACACTATGTTGCTGTATTTTTAAGTGTTCCATTCGGTAAATGCTTTTCTTTCTAACATACAGGAAAACTGAGGACAGTCTACAGGTATCAACTTAAACAAGATCCAATAAATCTTTTTGATCCTTATCTTGCATCTATATTTATAATCATAAGCATCCAAAGTAAAGATATATAAAACACATTAATTCAAAAACCAAATATTCTGTCATAAAATGTTGTAAATTCTTTAGTGCTTTTTGAATACACAGGAATACCTGATTAATAGCTTGGAAAACTGAACACAAAACGTATTATACCCTTGATAGTATGCATTGTGACCCTCCAAAGCCACTCCGTCCATCACAAGAATAGTTTCCAACAATTCTCCTCCCTTATTTTACAACTGAAAAAAAAATGAGGAAAGCCAATTCCAATGTAACTATAAGAATATTTTATATCTTTATTTAAAGACTTATAATTTCAATAAAAATATTGAGTCAAATGACCTCAAGGGTTTTCTTAAATTTTAAAATCTTACAGTTTTTTTCAAGGTCATGTAAGATTTTATCAAACAAAAACAAATTTATACTTTTAAAGAACCAGTTTAATTTGTTATTAGTAATAAAAATGGCTGTTTTTCATAAGCTCATTCTCTGTAGAGATAAGTCATAAGAAAATAACTGCAGGCCAGGTGTGGTGGCTTATGCCTATAATCCTAGCACTTTGGGAGGCCAAGGTGGGTGGATCACTTGAGCCCAGGAGTTAAAGACCAGCCTCGGCAACATGGCAAAACTCTGTCTCTACAAAAAAAAAAAAAAAAAAAAATTAGCCAGGCATGGTGGCATGTGCCTGTAGTCCCACCTACCCAGGAGGCTGAGGTGGAAGGGTCACCTGAACCTGGGAGGTTGAGGCTGCAATAAGCCATGATCATGCCACTGCACTCCAGCTCCTGGGTGATGGAGTGAGACCCTTATTCAAAAAATAAAAAATAAAAAGAAATAAAGAGATATACCATGTTCATAGATTAAAACTCAAGATTGTTAAGATGTCGATTCTTTATAAATTCTCTAGACTCACTAAAATCACCAACAGTATCCCAGTAGGCTTTGTCTTTAGCAGAAACGGGTAAATTGATTCTAAAATTTGTATGGAAACATATGGGAATTAGAATAGCCATACACACAAAAATCTTGAAGTAGAGCGATGTTGAAGAACTCAGACAAACAACTTGACTTTAAGACTGAATTTGAAGCTATAGCATTAAGGACAGGTCTGTTATTGGCATAAGGATAGGCAAATAGATTATTTGAATAGAATCAAACACATTTGTGGTAGTCTGTTATTAAAAGTCAAATCTACAACAAATGGTCCTAGAACCAACGGGAAAATGAACTTTTCCCCTTACATTACACATAAAAATATCAACATGTATCATAGATGTAAATTTAAGACCTAAAAGAAAAGGCTTCTAGAAAAAAATAAGAGAATATCAATGTAGTTTTGGATATTTGAAGATTCCTGAGACAAGAGCAGAAATTCCCAACCACAAAAGGAAAAAATAGATGAGTTGGATTTTATAATAATTATTTTTTTTCTCATCACAAGGTATTGTTAAGATAATAAAAACAAGGTAAAAACTTGAAGAAAATATTTGCAATATTTACATCTGTCAATCTGTACCTATACATAAATAATATATATTCCAGAATATATCAGTAATCTTACAAATCAGTAATAAAGACAACCCAATAAAAAAGCTAATAAACTAGAACAGATACTTGAACAAAAAGAATAAAATGAATGGCCAATAAACATATGAAAAGGTGCTCAACATCATAATAGAGGTGCAAATTAAAATCACAGTAAATTACCGTTTAATACTCAAGAAATATCTAAAACTAAAAATTTTGACAAGAACAATGATTGATGAGAATGTAGAAAACTGGAACTTTCATATTGCTGACAGGTGTATGAAATTGTACAACTACTTGGAAAACATTTGGCAATTTTTTATAAAATTAAAAGTAGGTTTATCTTATAATCCAACAATTTCATTCCTAGATATTTACTCAAGAGAAATACAGATACAAAAAGCATGTTTATATTTGTTTGATTCATAGTAGATAAAAACTGAAAACAGCTCAATCACTCATTAAAAGGACAATGAATAAATAAATGGTGGTATAGT